>NC_000004.12:135891077-136194108 GCF_000001405.40 Homo sapiens
AATGCAATATTTTCACACATTTTAAGTTCTATTCATATTTTTGTGTAGTTTATTTTGTTCTTTTGATCTGCATACCTTTTCCTATGCAGTTTCCATGTCAACTTGTTTTCAGAGGCTTTATGATTTATTCTCTCAATTCATACACAGTAAGTTTTTAAATATTCTCGCCAGTTGTTCTGTATTCTAGCACAGCTGTTATGCCCTTTGATTTTAAGATCATTTTATTAAATTTCAAAAGCAACAACTAAGACGGTGCTGAATCTAAAAGTAAAACTTTAATAATGGAGCTTACTTAAGAAATGCCACTATAATGGAGATTATTCATAAAAAGTTACCATAGATGCATAAATAATATTCAGTTATGTCATGTGCTAAAACATCATTAATTGTCATTCTTTGATTAAAGCTCATATATTTTATATAGCTGTTAGTCAAAATGTTAGTAATAAACACAGATGACTTCGAAATATATTTCTAATTATCTCTCAAGTGAGATTTAGATAGAATTGATAATTGGATAATGAAAAAATATGCTGTCTGACAGAGATTGGTACTCTATAATTCTCTATAGGTGATTGAAGAAGGATATACTTGTATTTGAAACAAGAACATTACACGGTATAATTGAAATTGTCAATATTTTTTTCATAAAGAAGTACATATTTCAAAGTTTAGTCATAGAAAATATATGAAATAATATAATTAATAGTGATTTGAAAGAGAACACAAAAATGAAAAAAATATGTATAAAAATGTTATAGTCATTGGTGGTTCCTGGAATATGTTAAGTTTACTCGTTGAAGGAATAGAATTATACTAAGGGAGTTAAGCTGAATGGGCATGTTCTCTTATTTTTGTGGGAGTGCTGGTGAGATGGTTTGTTGCTACATTTCTTTTTGTCTTCCATCTTCATTAATTTTCTGCTGTACTTTATTCTATTTCTTTGCTTTCCCAGAAAGTCAACAAGATTATTGAGTCAATGCTCATGTTAAAAAATATGTATGGTTATTTAATAATATGATTTCTAATTATGATGCTTCTGTCATCTTTTATTATGCATGACTTAAAACTTTTTTATAATGAACATGCATATTTTCAGTGCATTTAAACCAATATTCTAAAAGTAATTTAGTCACTAAAAATATTTGATCGAACAAAAAAAAACAAAATATCTAAATCGATTGTTTAAAAAATTGCTACAAACAAAGCCATTCTTTATTTCTGGATTTTAGGATTCATTTCTTAGAGTGCCTTGATGTTATGTTTAATAAATAGTTACTCGCCATAACCTAATAGCATTCTATTTATATGATAGTTATTCTATATACTAATGATTTATTCTGTATTGCATAAGTACATCTTGACTGTCAATTTTCTTCCTATGTCTGTCTTGCTGTGCCTCCCTTGTGGTCCCTCAGAGTAGTTTTGTCCATGATTCTGTCCTTGGACTTCTTCTCTTTCAGCTCTTAAATTTTTCAGCTCATTTGAAAATGACCTTAAATATCACCAAATACCACCTACAAGCTCATCACTGCAGTAGTCCCCCATTATGCATGGTGTTACCACCATGGTTTCAATTATGTGTGGTCAACCGAGGTCAGAAAATCAGTAATTACAGTACAATAAGATATTTTTAGAGAGACCAGATGCACGTAACTTTTGTGACAGTGTATTGTTACAAGTGCTCTACTTTATTAGTAGTAATTGTTGCTAATCTCTTATTGTGCCTAATTTGTATATTAAACTTATCATAGGTATGTAAGTATAGGAGAAACTTGGTAATTATAAAGTTTGGTACTTTCTGTGGTTTCAGGCATCCAACCAGATCTTAGAACACATTCCCTGCAGATAAAGGGGCATACAGCTGTACTTAAGGAGTAATTTCTAGCCAAGAATCTCTCTTCAAGTCACAAATGACCATCAGAAAGGTCCATCAAACGTAAAGATAAAAATTAAATATAATCATCATTTTTACCCTGATACTTCTCCCAGTATGAATGCAAATCAGGTCCACAAAATATTCTTTCTTCTCTAACACTTTTCCCTCTGAAGAGTACTATCCTCCAAATCATTCGAGTCATAAAACTAGCGCCTTCCTATTTTAATTATTCTCCTAACTTCAATCTCCATCCGTCATTAAATTCTATAGATCTTATCTTCTTTATACTTCCCATATCTAGTCTGCCTGTATCCAGTACTCCTATATTATTCAGACAGGTATTTAGTCCTGAGTTATTATCTTCTAAGTATTCTGCATGCCTGCATTCCCACATCACTCACAAACCTTTTATACCTGTTCCAGAGTAATTTTCTTCCAACATAGGCATGATTATACTACATCCATGCTTGAAACTTTTTCATGGGCGTTGAGCTAATTTACACCCCTAACAGTGTTTAAGCATTTCCTTTTCTCCACTGCCTTTCCAACATCTGCTATTTTTTGACTTTTTAATAGTAACTGTGCTGACTGATATGAGATGGTATTTAATTGTGGTTTTAATTTGCATTTCTCTGATGATTAGTGCTGTTGAGCACTTTTTTCATATGTTCGTTGGCTGCTTGTATGTCTTCTTTTGAGAAATGTCTGTTCATATCTTTTGCCCATGGAAAATATTATGGGTCTTTGTCAAAGAACTAAAAATTGATTTACCATTTGACCCAGCAATCCCACTACTGGGTTTCTGCCCAGAGGAAATCGTTATATCAAAAAGACTCATATGTTTACCACAGCACTATTCACAATAGTGAAGTCATGGAATCAACCTAAGCATCCATCAATTGTGCATTGGATTAAGAAAACGTGTTATTTATACACAATTGAATACTACACAGCCATGAAAAATAATGAAATCAGGTCCTCTGTGCCAATATGGATGGACCTTGAGATTATTATCTTAAGTGAATTAATACAGAAACAGATAATTATATACTGCATGTTATTACTTATAAATGGGATCTAAACAATGGGTACACATGTGCATGAGGACAGAAACTATAGACACTAGGGGACTCCAAAGGGAAAATGGAGAGAGACGAGTAAGAGTTGAAAAACTTCCTATTGAGTACTATATCCACTATTTTGGTGATTACTTCACTAGAATCTCAAACCCCAGCAAAATGCTTAAAAATCTGATATGTACTCCAAAATGTAATTAAATTTTTTTTCATAGCTTCTTCACGTTCTAAATCAGGAACTAGTAAACTATGGTGCATGGGCCAAATCTGGCTTCCAGCAGTTTTTGCAAAGTTTTCCTGGAACCAGCCATGCCCATTCATTTATAATTGTATGTAGCTGCTTTGGTCTATAATGGCAGAGTTGAGTAGCTATGATAGGGACCATGTGGTCTACAAAGCTTAAATATCTGGAACTTTACAGAAAGTTTTGATACCCTGCTTGAAATCCTAAACTCTTAATGTTTGACATCTCCTCCGTATAAATCTGAGTTATTTTCAATACCTTATGCTATAGCTATCAGAATACACACTGATAATAAATATGTATCAGAACATACACTGATATCACCTGAGGTCAGAAGTCGGAGACCAGCCTGGCCAACATGGCAAAACCCCGTCTCTACTAAAAATACAAAAATTAGCTAGCGTAGTGGCAGGCGCGTGTAATCGCAGCTACTCAGGAGGCTGAGGCAGGAGAATCGCTTGAACCTGGGAGGTGGAGGTTGCAGTGAGCCGAGATCTTGCCACTGCACTCCAGCCTGAACGACACAGCAAAACTCTGTCAAAAAAAAAAAAAAAAAAATTCTACACTTTTCATGTTGCATCCTAAATCCTCAACTTCTTGATCATTGGGTAATCTTTTAAGATTCAGAACAATTTTTCACCTTATCGTTGAAACCTAACCCCAGGGGAAACTAAATTAATTTCTCCTTGCCTTATGCCCTCTTTTCCTCTCTATGCCCTGCACAAGGTTATTTCCCACACATAAAGGGTTCTCCCCTACTTAATTCACGTGGTTCTGTCTTAGCCTCTCTACTACCCTGTGCAGAAGCAGGGGGCATGTTTTATACTTTTTTATTATTCCCAACATATAACCCAGTGCCTATCGTAAAGTTAGCACTCAACACATAGTTGCAGCATGCATGTATACATAAGTGAATATCTATATATATTTTGGGAAAAATATTTTTTAAGAACAACGGTAATTAGTATCTATGTTATTGGAAAATTGTTGCTCCCTATCTTTCTTTCCCCATACAAACTTTTCTTCTTAAAGGAGAAGACTACAGTCCTGAATCAATTTACTTTCAAGTTCCATTTGATCCCATACTATTTATCTTTGACACTGTTTCCTTCTTTCATACTAATAGGTTACATTGGCTTATAGGAATAAAACTGCATTCCTCTCATTTATTTTTAAAAATATTTTTCTTTCTTTTGAAGTTGATTTCTATTCATTTTTTATTGGACTTAACTTATTCAAGTCTTAACTCATTCCAAGAACTTAACATTATTCAAGCTTTATTATAGCCCTGGCACTCCTGTTTCTAAGAGAACACATTAATGATTTGCTACTAAGAACAAAAGAACAACAAATCTGTAGACATTAATAGTTGTAGAACAATACTTTAATAGTTCACAATTAATTTTGTCTTCATTGTATATGTCTCTGTGGGAAATATAGAAAGATGCCCTAATACATATTCAGTTCACAACTTTTTCTTCCCAGTGTTGTTGGTTAGGTATTTTTTTTCTTAACGATAAAATGAGAAAAGATAGGTTGAGGATAAAAGTAAAGTTATTGTTTAAAACAATAAAATTTTAATGGAATACTGTACAAGCAAAAGGATAAGATCACACATCTGCTCCACTTGCCACTTCTATTATTTATGTAAATTAAACAGGATTTCTTCTATCCCTCACTAAAAATAATCATGGGTGAATGCAAATTTAGGCATACTTATGAACACAGTTTAATTCCCTGTATCCAATTTTGGAAAGAAAAAAGTAACATATACATTAATCAAACTGTTTCATATTCTTAATAGGTAGGTAGATAGACAAATGCATATTATTTCTTTAAGAATATTTTCCCATATTACAGTCATGATTGCATCTGAAGAATCAGACACTATATTTTGGAGAATTATTCAAAGATAAATATTGCAATTAGTTCAAAGATAAAATAATTCTTCAGATTGTACCTGAAGAATCAGACACTATATTTTGGAGAATTAGTTCAAAAATAAATAATGCAATTTATAGGTGGTAAAATATGTACTTAAGGAACCAGTACAGTACAGATGCCAGTTTATCCTGGACTTTACATGCATGTGCACATACACATTTTCAGCAAAATGTTTACAATAAGGTAGACCGGTGTGTATTTTATAGTAATTTATTATAGGTTGGTGAAAAGTAACTGTGGTTCTTGACATTAAAAGTAATTGCAAAAACCACAATTACCTTTGCATCAACCAAATAGATAGGAAATTAGAAAATACAAGGCTAAACAAGGTTGATCTGGTTTTTAAGCTATTATGCTAAATATCAAATAGTTAAATTCTGCATAACATATAATTAAACAGAGTAAATTATATTGTATTGGTTTTAAAATGCTTCACTGCTGTGTACAAAAGCCTTCATTTTAAGGTAGGCATAAATTGTGGCATCAACAAATGTTTATATTATTCACAGTAAAAATTTAACATTAATTAAATAAGAAAATAGGCCAGGCACAATGACTCATGACTGTAATCCTAGCACTTTGAGAAGCCAAGGTGGGATGATCGCTTGAGCACAGGAGTTCAAGACCAGCCTGGGAAAGGTGGTGAGACCCTGTTTCTACAAAAGTGAAAAAATTAGCCAGGTGTGGTGGTGCATGCCTGTGGTCCCAGCTACTCAGGAGGCTGAAATGGGAGAATTGTTTGAGCCCGGGAGTTTGAGGCTGAAGTGAGCCTGAGCAACAGAGGATCATCCTGTCTCTACTTTTTTTAAAAAAGAAAATTGTAATGAAGAAAGTGCAAGTTTACATTTATGCACTGTCTAATAACAGAAAATTATTTTAAATGTCCTATTACATGGACCTTAATTATATTTAATTATTTGAGACACTAAATTTCACTATGCGTACACATATGCACATGCACACATGACTAACCTTATAACTCTAAGTATACAGGCAAATCAAGTCAGTTTGTTTTAGCTACCTTATTCACAGCAATAAAGCAAAGTGACTAGAGCTATGCATTCACAATTCCTATTTTCATCAACGCATTAGCAATTCCTGTTTGCATTGAAAAGTATTTATCAAAGTAAATTTTTAAAAATATTTCTGGTATTCATTAATTCTGTTACGTATACTGTTTTATATACAGTCAAGCCATACATCCATCCAGCAATCTATATCTATAGCTATATATATCCTACATACCATGTCACGGGTGCTTTTATACTCTCATAAAGGTTAGAATAGATCAGTGAATAAAAACAGGCAAACACATTATTCTCATTGAGCACACTCTTCAGTGAGTGGAGGCAGACTCTAGACAAGATAAATAAGTAAAATATATAGTACATTACATGGATATTAATGTTATGAAAAAATTTGTGTTACAAATGGAAGTTGGAGGTGATAGTAGGGCCTTCTTAAGAAGGCCCTTAAGAAGGTAGGGTCTTCTTAAAAAAGACCCCAAGGACACAAAGAATAAATGTGGAGATTTCTGATGTAAGAATGTTCCTGTCAGAAGGACCAGCACACATTGCTCACTACAAGAGTGGCTACAGGAATAGCAAATAGGCATGCATAACAGAAGTGGAGTGGAATGAGTGAAGTAAAGGAGAGAAGGTAAGGGAGGTGGTTAGGGCAGAAAACTGGGCAAGAAACTCTAAGATTTGATTCTGAATTGTTCTTTTGTAGAGGTTGAAATAAACTTTATTTTTATAGCAATAAGATATAATTTATATTTTAAATAAAATTCTGCGTTTTTTTTTTTTTTTTTTTTTTTTTGTAGAAACTCTCTCTACTGCAGTTCTACATCACTTAGTATTTTGGTCCTGTCTTCCATTTACGCTAGTGAAGTGGTGTGTTATTTGCTGGTTTTCTTCCTTTCAGTGGGGAAACTAACTAATATGTATGTTTTCAGAGACTGTATTCCACAATAAATATCGTTTTGGGAGATTTTGAGGAAGGAAGTGCCATCCTCACTGTAAGGAGTGAGTTCTTAGCCTGTTAGTTCCTGGGAGAGCTGATTATTTAAAAAACTCTGGTACCTCCTTTCTCTCTGTCTCACTTTCTTCTTCTCTTGCTATGTGAACCCTGCTCCCCTTTGCCTTCCACCATGAGTGGGGAGCTTTCTGAAGCCCTCACCAGAATCAGATGCTGACACCATGCTTCTCGTACGATCTGCAGCACTGGTAACAAAACAAAGTTCTTTTCTTTATAAATTACCTACCCTCAGTGTTTTATTTATAGCAACACAAATAGGCTAAAATAACAAATTGGTACTGATGAATGGGGCATTGCTATCCCTAGCATCAGTGTCAAATCCAGAAAAATGTATTTCCTAAAAATATCAGATAGATACCAGAAAATGTATAAAGACATTTGGAATTAAGTAATGGACAGAAGTTGGAAGAATTCAGAAGGCTCAGAAGAAGATAGGAAGACAAGGGAAAGTTTGGAATTTTTTGAGGCTGGTTAAGTGGTTGTGACCAAAATGCTGATAGATATATAGATAGTAAAAGCCACGCTGATGAGGTCTCAAATGGAAATGAGAAATGTACAGGGAACTGAAAAAAAGAAGTCATTCTTGTTCTGCCCCAGCAAAGAACGTGGCTGCTTTGTGTACATGTCCTAAGGCTTTGTGAAAGGCCAAACTTAAGAATGATGATTTAGGTTATCTGGTGGAAGAAATTTCTAAATGCTAAAGCATACAAAATGTGGCCTGGCTACTTCTAACAATCTATGACCAGACATGGGAGCAAAGGAATGATATAAAGTTGGATCTTGTAACTAAAAAGAAAACAGAGTGTATAAATCAGGGAAATTTGAAACCTGGTCATGTGGTAAAGAAGGAAAAAGCATTTTCAGGACAGGAATCCAAGGGGACTGGGAAGTAACAACTTGCTAGAGAAATCATTATGACTAAAAGCAAGTCAGGTGCTAATAGTCAAGGTAATGGGGAAAAATCCCTGAGGGCACATCAGAAATGTTTAAGGGAGCCCCTCTCAACACAGAGCAGAGGCCCAGAAGAATAGAATGGTCTGGGGAGGAGGCAAGCCCAGGTTGCCTGTGCTAACTCAGAGTGCTGCTCCCCACCAAACCCCTGACCAGGCTGCTCTGGATCTAGGCTCAGCTCAAAGGGTCCTAGGTACTGCTTGGATAATTACTTTGTGGGGGCACACGCCATAAGCCTTGGCAGCTCCCATGTGGGATTAAGTTTTAGGTGCCTAGAATGCAAGAATGGTAGAAGCTTGGCCATTTCCAAGGTTTCAGAGGATATACGGAAAAACATGGGTGCCCAGACAGAAGCCTGCCGTAGGGACAGAGCTTCTGCAGAGAGGCTTTACTAAGGCAGTACTGAGGTGAAATGTGGGGTTGGTGGCTCCACAAACAGTTCCCACTGGGAGACTGCCTAAAAGAGTTGTGAGAATGGAGCCACATCCCTCCAGACCCCAGCAAGTTAGAGCCTCGAGCAGCATGCACACCTGTAGCCTGGAAAAGCTGCAGGCAATTGCCTCAAACCCTAAGAATAGCCACACGGCCTACACGCAGCAGAGCTGGGGAGACAGAATTGCCTGAGGCCTTGGAGCCCACCTGTTACACCAGTGTGCCTAGGATGCCTGACATGGAGTCAAGGAAAATCATTTTGGAGCTTATATTTAATGTCTGCCCTGCTAGGTTGTGCATGTGGCCTGTTACCCTTTTTATTTGTTTGATTTCTCCCTTTTGAATGGGAATGTTTACCCTCTGCCTCTACCACCATTGTATGTTGGAAGTAAATAACTTGTTTTTGAACTTATAGGCACAGAGCTGGAAGGAACTTGCCTTGACTCTCAAGGCTTTTGACTTTGGATCTTTGAGTTGGTGCTGAAATAAGACTTTTGGGGACGATTGAGGAAGAGTGATTGTATTTTGCAATGTGAGAAGGATACAAGCTTTTGGGGTGAAATGATATAGTTTGGATGTGTGTCTCCTCAAATCCTCATGTAGAAATTGGATCACAAAGATTGGAGGTAGGTTCTGATGGGAGGTGTTTGGGTCCTCAGGGTGGATCCCTCATGAATAGCCTTGTGTCATCTCTATAATAAGTTCTCACTCTATTTATTCCTGCAAGAACTGATTATTAAAAAGACCCTGGCACCTCCCTTCTGTCTCTTGCTTCATTCTGCTCTCACTATGTGATGTCAGCTCCTCTTCACCTTCCATCATGAGTGGAAGCTTCCTGAGGTCCTCACCAGAAACAGAAGACAGTGCCGTGCTTCTTGTACAACCGGAAAAACCATAAGCCGAATAAGTCTCTTTTCTTTATATGTTACGCAGCCTCAGGTTTTCCTTTAGAGCAATGCAGACTGCTACAAATTTACACCCACCATCTCTTTTTAACTGCTGGCCCTGTGGACTCCTAAGCCCAGCATCAGACACACACACACAAAAACAGACTTACCAACCTCCACAAATGCTTATGGCCTAAGCCTTGACTGAAAACCTAAGCAAATATTCAAATTCATAAAATGACAGATATGGATAAATTGAAATATAATTAATTTACTTTGAAAAGTGAATAAATGATTGATATTTTCCCCAAGTGCAATTGGTTAAACTTTCAAAAAACAGAAGCATACTATGCACAAATGTTCCCAGGGCAGAGAGAAAATATTATTTTATATCAGCATATTAAAATGCCAGTATATTATCTACTAAAATACTGAAATATTTCCATGTCCACTCATAAAAATAATATTACATTTATTAATTACCTCCACATGGTTATAGAAATCAGACATACATTGCCATTTCAAGAAATACATTTTTCTGGATTTGACACTGAAGCTAGGGATTCTACTGCAGCTATTTTATTTGCTTCAGTTTTCTGGCATTGCCACTAGATTTAGTCTTCCAGAGGAAAGGGAAACTTCCAAGTTAAGTTAAAAGGAATATGTTGTGTAAATCTTTGAGAGAAATGCCTAAGGGGAAAGCTTGACTTAGTTCAGATTGCCTCTGCAGAATGTGTTGGGGTCTATGGTGACAGACAAATGTTTTCATGATAGCCTACTCCCAATGGTTTGTGATATTTGAAAAAAAAAATCCCCTAAGTATAGGCAGTGCTTTCTATCCATTTTCAAAAGTTATCACGAACAAGCATCAACTTGAGACCTTGTTTACAAACCTCTGCAAGTAACAGTGGATCCACCCCTTCCATCCTCTTATCACAGGTACCATAGTTGCATTTGTGTACACATATAACTTGTATAATCACATTATCTTATGTATATGTATATATATATCCAAATATACATTTGTCAAAGTAATTAATAGACAAAAATCTGAAAACTTCACATGCAGAAACATAAAAATTTAGTGAAATTTATGTCTATAAAATAACATAGTTAAGTATTTGGGAGGTATAGCTTTCTAAATATCTATTTATCTGTTTATACCTATCCATTTACCATTTATCCTTCTATCAATTTATTCATCCACCTATTTCTCCTTTTATGTACTTATCTATCATTTTAGCTGTTTTGCTGCATTATAATAGCTTAAACAGAAAATCACGGAAGACATTCATTGGCTTTCCTGCCATTATTTACTATTTGTTCAAATGTTTATTCTTTCAATAATGAGTTATGCAGAAGAGAAGTTAAAAAATAAAAAAATGGACTGCAAATAGAAAGTAAACATTTAGCTATTTTTAAATGAAATTTTGTGACAAATGATAGATTCACAATAGAGTAAATCATTCAGTGACTAGAATATTTATCTTAAATTATACCATTATTTTTCATATTTATGGCTATTGTTAGCAAAATCGTTTTGGTCTGAATCATCATAAAGTGATTTACTTTATGCCATCTTTGCCCCAAGCCCTAAGGAGTAATGATATCTTTTAAATAAGCAAGAACTACAATAATTCTTAAAAGCAATATACAATGTTTCTCTTGAAACAGATAGAGTAGAATTAAAATTCTACATGGGTTTTTGCCCAAGTTTGTCATTTATATAAATTTTTAGCTCTTCTACTATTATTACTATAAATTTGTCTATAAGAAAGCACACTTTAAAATCCCACAGAAGCCATTGAAACAAGAGGCATTAAATCTGTACTTCATAATTCATGTATGTAGTAATGTTATCAGTAAACATACTGTGTTTAACGAAGACACGTAGCTAACTCTATCATAAACCTATGTCGTTGTGAAATAACTACCAGCCATTTGGACAGTTATGAGTCTTGTTTAGAACATAAATGTAAAGAACAGATACATTTACCAAATAAAAATAAAATCTCTGCTTTGGATCAAGTGAAGGTTAATTAATCTAAGATTCTAATTCAATCCAATAGTTAATATGCAACAAAATTTTTACCTCATCTCTCTCAAAACGTATTATATTTTTATATGTGAATAGTTAATGAAATTCCACTTCTCATTATTAAAGAAACTTGGAAAAATTATTGCATTTTAAATGCACTGTGAAATGCAATCACATTTAACCTTCATTTAAAAGTGTAAATATATAATTTCCTGTTAATATAGAACAGAAGAACTCTGAAAAATTAATCAAAACATTCTGACTTAATTTCTTAGGGCATCAACACAAATTAACATAAAATATTTGCTCAATAATTCCGTAAGGCAAATAATAACAAAGCTCCTAGTAGAAATAAGCAGAAGAGGATGAGAAACAGTAGCATATAATTTTAGGATACACTGTATTACAACAGTGATGTGAAAGTTTATAATTGATTAATGGACATTGTACCATAGACCAAATCCTTTAAGCTCTTATTTATTCTGTTACCATACTCTGGTTTATAAGCTGGAATATTTAAACACTATTTCAATTTTAGAGGAAAATAGTGGCTAGCTAATAATCAATTATACATTTTGTTTTGCATTATATTTTTTGACCAGGGATGTGGTCTTTGATGACATATATTTGAGGTTCCTGTGGCAGAGACTCTGTGGTATTTCCCTGCATGCTGTTTGTCAGTCCAGGTAGTCTATTAAAACAGTTGATTTCTTCTTTGCTTAACAGCAACAAAAAAGGCTCTTTTAAAGATTAATTTTATAATGTCATGAAAAATATTTTTAAAATATACTATTTGTAATATCAATATAGTTGCTTAGAGATTAATGTACTTGTCATTGAAACAGCCTGGAATATTTTTATTAATTTTCCAATGCTCTAAAAAGATATTATAGAAATGTTTTCTTTGTAGCATGTCTAATGTTTCGGAACAGTTATTGGATTACTTTAGAAAGCTATTTGTTAATGCTAAGAAAGAGAAGCATTTTGATTAGATATGTTGAAGCTTGTTTGGAAAGACAAGTGATAAGGCAATAATTTCATTTTATTGTTACTCTTTCTTTTGAAATGTTTTGAATTTATAAGAGCATAACAAAATAACGCAGATTTTTTTTCATGAAATTAAGTGTTCTTTACTGCTGCCTTCGTGAGGTGGAGGTGTAACAAATCTATTCTTTTCTTAGAATAAACATATATAGGCCAGGCATGGTGGCTCACACCTGTAATCCCAGCACTTTGGGAGGCTGAGGCGGGCGGATCATGAGGTCAGGAGTTTGAGACCAGCCTGACCAATATGATGAAACCCCGTCTCTACTACAAATACAAAAATTAGCCGGGCATGGTGGCAGGCACCTGGAATCCCAGCTAGTAGAATTAGCAAATATGGAATCTGCAAATAATGAGGATTGACAATACAATATTAGAACATCATAAATAATGGAGGTTTCGCTTCTTTTGAAAGCAGAGTACAACGAGGGAGTTCGTGAGTTCCCAGGAAAGGTGTAGTTGTTATTTTAAATGGGTAAATCAGGGCATCCCGGAGAAAATGAAATTTCAGTAAAGGTCTGGAGCAGGTAAGGAGGGTGGGTATTTGTTATCTAGTGTGTAACATTCCAAGAAAAATGAGTAAAAATCACCAATATGTGAAGCTAGAAGCATTCCTGAAATATTAGCCCAAGAGCAAGGAGGTCATAGGGCCTGGAAGGGCAGAGAGAGAGAGAGAGAGGAGTTGCAGAGGAGGTCAGAGAAGTAATATGAAGAATCAGTTCCTGTGGGTTTTTTGTGCCCCACTAAAGATTTCTGCTTATATGTTAAATACAACAATAAGTCATTGCACAAGGACTGACTTACATTTTAAATCAGCCTCTCTGGGTGTTCTGTGGTGAAAAAACAAAAGGAGGAGGGAGGGATGATGGTCAAAGGAAAAAAGCAAAAAAACCTGTATACATTAGGCATTCTTTGTGGTGTGTGGAGAGTAGGGGCAAGAGGTCAGATTCATATTCATATTCATATTCATATCAGTGGAAGTATTGAGAACTAGTAACGCTCTGAATATAGTTTTAAGGTATTGAACGTAGGACATGAGAAAAAAAATAAAAAGAGAATAGGAAAAGAAGAGCAACCAGTCAAGGTGACTGAGAAGGACTACTAGTGAAGTAGAAAAAAAATGAGGAGAGAGTGGTGTTTAGTACCCAAAAGAAGTAGTGCGTCAAGATTGAGCATGTTAAGCTTTGTCAAAGGCTACTAATAAATAAATTATATTGAGAAGGGAACATTTTGACACTTAATTTGACAGCATAGAAATTATTGTAGTATTTATGTGGAACTCTAGGAGGGAAATCTTGGTTGAACTGGATTTAAGAGAGAATGGAAAGTGAGAATTTGAAGGTGGTTAGCCTAAAGTATTTCTTAAGAGATTTGCAAAAAAAATGGAAACAGCTTTGGTATATAGTGATTCAAGAAAAAAATGTGTTTAAAAAATTGTAAGATAGGAAAATAACTATGTTTTTATGACGATGAAAAATCATTTTTTTATGTGGGGGAGAGCCAAAAGTATTCCCGGGCCATGTACATAAGTAGTCAAAAGATGAAAGAAGAGAAGGTAAACTCAAAGAAAACAAAGTATTGAATTTAGGCAGAATCATGATAGTATTACATCTATAGCAACATCAAGAATACAGTCAGTATTTGCAAATACTGGCAAGTAAGAAAAATGTGCTTGTGAGAATATGTATATACTTTTTAAAAAACTTTTAAGTTCAAGGGTACAAGTACAGGTTTCTTATGTAGGTAAATGTGTGTCATGGGATTTTGTTGTACAGATTAGTTAATCACCCAGGTATTAGGCCTAGTACTTATTCATTGTTTTTCCTGATGCTCTTTCTCTTCCCACTCTCCACCCATCAAAAGGACCCGGTGTGTATTGTACCCCTCTATGCATCCATGTGTTCTCACCATTTACCTTTCACTTATAAGTGGGAAAATACCATATTTGATTTTCTGTTCCTGTGTTACTTGCCAAGGATAATGACCTCCATATCCATCCACGTCCCTATGTCCCTGCCAACAAACAAAACAAAACAAACAAACAAACAAAAATTGATTTTTCTTAATGGCTGCATAGTTTTCCATGGTCTTCTTTTGAGAAGTGCCTGTTTATTTCCTTTGCCCACATTTTAATGGAGTTGTTTGTTTTTCACTTGTTTGTCTAAGTTTCTCATATTTGCCCACATTTTAATGGAGTTGTTTGTTTTTTACTTGTTTGTCTAAGTTCCTCGTAGATGCTGGATATTAGACATTTGTTGGATGCCTATTTTGTGAAAAATTCTCTCATCTGTAGATTATCTGTTTACTAATTTGATAGTTTCTTTTGCTGTGCAGAATCTTTTTAGTTTAATTATATCACAATTGTCCATTTTTACTTTTGTTGAAATTGCTTTTGGCATCTTTGTCATAAACTCTTTGCTCATAGCTATGTTCTGAATGGAATTGCCTAGGTTATCTTCCAGGGTTTTTATAGTTTTGGGTTTCCCATTTAAGTCTTTAATCCATATTGAGTTAATTTTTGTATATAGTGTAAGGAAGTGGTTCAGTTTCCATCTTCTGCATGTGGTAAAACAGTTATCCCAGCACCATTTATTAAATAGGGAATCATTTTCCAATTGCTTGTTTTTGTGAGGTTTGTTAAAGATCAGATGGTTGTAGGTGTGTGGTCTTATTTCTGAGTTCTCTATTCTGTTCCATTGGTCTATGTGTCTGTTCTTGTACTTGTACCATACTGTTTTGGTTACTGTAGCCTTGTAGTGTAGTTTGAAGTCAGGTAATGTGATGCCTCCAGCTTTATTATTTTTGCTTAGGATTGCCTTGGCTATATGGACTCTTTCTTGATTCCATATGAATTATAAAATAGTTTTTCTACTTATGTGAAGAATGTCAATGATAGCTTAATGGGAATAGTATTGAATCTTTGAATTGCTTTGGGCTCTACAGCCATTTTGTTGATATTGATTCTTTTTTTTTTCATGAGTATGCAATGTTTTTCCATTTGTTTGTGTCATTTCTGATTTCTTTGAGGAGCGGTTTGTAGCTCTTCTTGTAGAGATCTTTCACCTTCCTGGTTAGCTGTATTCCTAGGTATTTTGTTTCTTTCTGTGGAAATTTGAATGAGAGTTTATTTGTGATTTGACTCTTGGCTTGACTATTCTTGGTGTATAGGAATGCTAGCGACTTTTGCACATTGATTTTTTTATCCTAAGATATTGCTGAAGTTGCTTATCAGCTTAAGAAGTTTTTTGGCTGAGACAATGGGGTTTTCTTGATATAGGTTTATGTCATCTGCAACTAGGGATAGTTTGGCTTCTTCTCTTCCTATTTGAATGCCTCTGTTTTTCTTTTGCCTGATTGCCCTGGCCACAACTTCCAATACTATGTTGAATAGGATTGTTGAGAGAAGGCATTCTTGTCTTGTGCCAGTTTTCAAGGGGAATGCTTCCAGCTTTTGCCCATTCAGCATGATATTGGCTGTGGGTTTGTCATATATGGCTCTTAATATTTTGAGGTATGTTCCTTCAATACCTAGTTTACTGAGAGTTTTTAGCATGAAAGGATATTGAATTTTATCAAAAGCCTTTTGTGCATCTATTCAGATAATCATGTGGCTTTTGTTTTTAGTTTTGTTTATGTGATGAATCACATTTATTGATTTGCAAATATTGAACCAACTTTGCTTCCTAGAGATGAAGCCTACTTGATCATGGTGGATAAGCTTTTTGATGTGCTGCTGGATTCAGTTTGCCAGTAGTTTGTTGAGGATTTTTGCATCAATGTTCATCAAGGATATTGACCTGAAGTTTTGTTTGTTGTATCTCTGCCAGTTTTTAGTATCAGGATGATGACTTCATAGAATGAGTTAGGGATGAATTTCTCCTTTTCACATTTTTGGATTACTTTCTGAAGGAATTATACCAGCTCTTCTTTGTGCATCTGGTAAAAGTCAGCCATGAATCCATCTGATCCTGTCATTTTCTGATTGGTAGGCTATTTATTACTGCCTCAACTTCGGCACTGTTTATTGGTCTGTTCAGGTATTGAATTTCTTCCTGGTTCAGTCTTGGGAGGGTGTATGTGTATCTATGTATCTATTTCTTCTAGATTTTCTAGTTTATGTGCATAGAGTTGTTTATAATATCCTCGATAGTTGTTTGTATTTCTGTGGGATTGTGGTAATATCCCCCTTATGGTTTCTGATTGTGCTTATATGAGTCTTGTCTCTTGCCTACTTTATTAGTCTAGATAGTGGTGTACCTATTTTATTAATTTTTTTTCAAAAAAAAAAACGGCTCCTGAATTTGTTGACCTTTTGAATGTTTTTTCATATATCCATCTCCTTGAGTTTAGCTCTGATTTTGGTTATTTATTGTCTTCTGCTAGCTTTGGAATGTGTTTGCTCTTGGTTCTCTAGTTCTTTTAGTTGTGATGTTAGGTTGTTAAATTGAGATCTTTCTAACTTTTTGATGTGAGCATTTAGTGCTATAAATTTCCATCTTAACCCTGGATTAACTGTGTTGCAGGGATTCTGGTACGTTATATCTTTGTCCTCATTAGTTTCAAAAAACTTCTTGATTTCTACCTTAGTTTCATTATTTCCCCAAAAGTCATTCAGAAGCAGGTTATTCAATTTCCATGTAATTACATGGTTTTGAGTTAATTTCTTAGTCTTGAGTTCTAATTTGATTATGCTGAGGTTTGGGAGACTGTTATTTCAGTTATTTTGCATTTGCTCAGGAGTGTTTTACTTCTATTTATCTGATTGATTTTAGAGTGCCATATGGCAATGAAAAGAATGTGTATTCTATTGTTTTGGGGTGAAGAGTTCTGCAGGTATCTATCAGGTTCATTTGATCCAGTACTGAATACAGGTCCTGAATATCTTTGTTAATTTTCTGTGTTGATGATCAGTCTAATATTGTCTGTGGGTTAAAGTCTTCCACTATCATTGTGTGGGAGTCTGTCTCTTTGAAGGTCTCTAAAAACTTGTTTTATGAATCTGGTTGCTCCTGTGTTGAGTGCATATATATTTAGGATAGTCAGCTCTTCTGGTTGAATTGACTTCTTTAATGCCCCTTTTTTTGGTCTTATTTCATCTTTGTTAGTTTAAAAACTGTTATGTCAGAAACTAGGGTTGCAACCTTTGCTTTTTTCTGCTTTTCATTCACATGGTAGATTTTCCTCCATCACTTTATTTTGAGCCTATGTGTGTCATTGCAAGTGAGATGGGGCCCTTGAAGACAGCATACCAATGGGTTTTGGTTCTTTACCCAGCTTGCCATGCTGTGATATTTTTACTGGGGCATTTAACTCATTTACATGTAAGGTTAGTATTGATGTGTGTAGATTTAATCTTCTCATCATGATGTTAGCTAGTTATATTGCAGACTTGTTTATGTCATTGCTTTATAACGTTACTAGTTTGTGTATTTCAGTGTATTTTTGTGGTGGCTGGTAATCGTCTTTCCTTTCCATATTTAGCGCTTTCTTCAGAAGCTCTGTTGGTAACAAATTATCTCAGTATTTACTTCTCTGAAAAGGATCTCTGAATCATTTTGAACATTGTTTTCCCGAATTAAATTGTAACTGATAGACACAATTATGTGTTTTTTTCTAGTCATTTGTGTTCATAAATTTGCATGTGTGGAATAGGTGATGTGTTTAATTTGAGTTTTAGTTTTGCTAATAAGTAACACAAAACAGAACATCAAGGGACAGTGTTATATTTATTAAACGTTAAGCATCCAAGACTTCATGATGATCTCATCCAAGATATCATTTCTTTAAATTTGCCTGACACACACACACATAAACTTTCTGCTAACCAGGGAGGTTTTAATCACCTTATTAAAAGATTCAGTGATGCAGTAGCTTTCCAACTGATGGTCTACCTTTTATGTCTCAACGTGCCCCTAGTTGATATTAATTTATTCTACACATTGCCAGCAGATTAATCTTTATGATACACTATTTCACAAATAATATATTTTATAATTACAAAACCATGCATGTCTCCTTTGTGAGAAATCACAGGATAACATAAAAGCTTTGTTTATTACTCTTAACATTAGAGAAAACCAATTAACCTCCTTTTTGCATTTTTTTCTGTTAATTTCATGGAAATTATTATGTGTCAGTGACAGAAAATATTTTAATACTGTTTAAGTAGTGATAACTGTTAGTTAACAATCACAAACAATTTATTTGATCTTGCCCAATTAAAATATTTTAGTCATTTTATGGTTTAATATTTTTTGAAAATATTTGTAATTTCTGTAGTTAAAGTCCTTTATTAGATTCCATTTTATTTCCCAAAGATCCACATAAGCTACTGATGAGAAATCAATTTATTTCTCTAGTAATGACTCATGCCTAAGCTCAAAATTTATATATTTTACTTAGTTTTACTTCCTGCTTGATTTTTCACTTGGATATTGAATGGGAAATTCAAGCATAATATCTCCAAACATCTTGTTTCAACTCTACCATGTCCCTGTCACAACCTACTCCCTGTGTCTTTTGCATTGCAGTAAATTGTACCATTATTCACCTAGATGTTCATTCTCAAACATGATAATGTTTGATTTTACTCTTTCTACCTCACCAATACACCATCGAATACCGTCTGTTCTACCTTCATGCAGCCTCAACAATACAATCTCCCATTTCAGAGTTCTACTCAATTCCTTATCTGGAGTTATGCTTTCAAATATCAAACCTTCTTACAGTTTCTCATCTCTCTTACAATGAGGTTTAAACTCCTACAATGCCCTGTACAAACTGTCTTCTCAAGACCTTTCCAAATTAATCTCTCATTTACCTTCCCATTATCACACACTTCATGTTAGATAGGCTTGCTACTTTTCACTCCATAAGAATGCTAAGCCAGTTCTGCCTTACCTAGGAACTTTACTCTTGGATTTTTTCACCAGAGAAACATTTCCCTCAGATCTTATCACAGTGTCACATCAGTATTTTTCAAATGGTACTTCCTGAGAGATGTCATTAGTAACTTTCCTATGTAAAATAGTCATCAACCTTGTGAGCCTCTCTCACTTCATTCTGCTTTTTGTCTCTTCCTTTTTTTCTAATCTACACTTAACCATCAGATCTCATACTTCTATCTAGATGTACAAATTATCTCACCTTCAATTTAACACACACACACACACACACACACACACACACACATACTTTGTTGTAGTTACTTCTATTCATTTCTAGCCTCTCCATCTCATAACTTTATGACTACAGGACGATTTGTTTTTTTGTTCACTATTCTATCATCAGTGCCTAAATCGAGTTCTTCTTAATATGATAAATGTTTAATAAGTATTGGTTGAAAGAAAGAAGAAAATATGAAAGGAGAGAAGAAAGGAAGGGGAAAAAGAAGAAAGGCATTGCAAAATCTGAATCCCAAGGTATGATAATTTTTTAAATGCCACTTAATTTTAATATCCTTCTTTGACAAAGCTGGAACAACAAAAAAGATGACTTCTTTGCTCAGTTATCATAGGAAGTGTTATGCAAAAAGGAGTATCATAGTAAGGAAAATGCCATTCAATGAGGCATCTGGAAATTTGTATGAGCATTTTGTTGTCACATGTGGATGGTATTTAACGTATATGTATGAGGACTGTTAGATATTCTGCACTGTGGAAAAATAGATCTTTGTCATGTACATATTTTGAATGATCTGATATGTATTTATATATGATAAAACCTAGAACTAATCTTTTGTACATAAATAAAATGTTTTTGGAACCACATTTTGCATGCCTATAGTTTTCTAATAATATTAAAACTGTATAAATACAGAAAATAATTTTTTGTGGAGGCATATGATAAAAAACTGTTCAGTATTCCCCCAAACTTATATCAGCAAAGGCAATGCCACTCTTGATATTCACCTACCACTATCAGTGGCAATTGTCTGTTTAATATGATGCAAAGGTTTGTGTCTTCTCCCAAAGGTATGATTATTAAAGGACATATTATTTTTTAACTTAAATTTGCTTTTATGTTTCCTAATACAGTTAGGGAATTATTTCTTTTTGTAGCTGCCTATGAAGTTGGGTTACAGTTTCTCTGTTTATCATTGCATGATAACAATTCATTACAATATGTGAGAAGTTGGTTTGAAATGATTGAGAATGAATGGTCTAACATTTAGCTTGTTCATATATGTATTTTATATAGGCATTTTATTGCTATTTTCATCAGCTACATCTAATATCACTACTACTTTGTAAAGTAAAATAAAATAATAACAACTAACTGCTGTCTTTTTCTAAGGGTCTTCTGCCAATCACTTTATGTTTATTATTCCATTAATCCTCTCAAGACCTGTATAAGGTCTTGAGAGGATTAATGGAATAATCCTCTGAACAAAGTGAAATTGAAAGAAATGATGTCTTATGCAAATATCACAAAGCTAGTTATCATAAGACATGACTTGATCTCTTGTCGATGTACTTCTTTTCAAACATGAACTTTGTATTTTTATGCTCCATAGCACATTCTAAAGGGTATTATGCAAGTTATTCCAAAAAAAAAAAAACCTCCATTTTCCTTTCATGGAAAAAAACTGGGAGTATGGACAATGTTATGACTCAGACTGAAACAACACCTCAAAGCCATTTTAAGTGGAGACATGTCCATGTTCCAGCTCTTGGAGATATTTGGTCTGGGTCACCTGTTTTCTCTGGTGGCATTCCCGTGACTGCCTGTATGGCAGTTGTTCCCACCACGGTTTCACCAGAGAGCAAGCCCTGTGTCATATGCTTCATACAGAAGATGCTCACATTTGTAATACTTTTGACAATAGTAAACCCCAGTCAAGAAAGAAAACTCTGTTAAATGGTATATTGCTTACTTAATGTGAACTCTTTCAATCTGTGTGTAAAATTCAAATAATTCAGTAAATGAGTCATTCTTTAAATTAAGCCTTCAATCGATTAAAATTGTTTTTCAATTGAAAGGAATCCTAGTTTGAATTAAATGTGTGACATAATGTCAAGACAGTGTTTAAATTTCTTGAATAAAAAAATGGTAAACTCACACTGAATTTGGAATTTGATTTTCAAAACTGATTTAAAACAACTGTTATCTACTTGTAGCTAAGCATTTTAAATGGTTTGAAATATTATTTTTTAAAATCAGACTAGGTATCTAAATTACAAATTTAAAATTATTTTGTTCAAAATATCAATGAAAAGAAACTAATTTTGTATTAGTTAGATATATGCTAACATTTAAAAAGTATACAACTGAATTTCTTCAGGTAAAACAGGAAAATTCAATCCCTAATTTTTATCAATCTTTTGATTTGGAAATGTGACAGTAATTGTAAATCTTGTTGACATGATTTCCCCATGTTCTGGCAAATATTTGAGCTTGTATTTAAACAGCCAACACTCATTATCTGTTACTCTGGTTTCCTTTTCATTTTGGGGAATATATTCTTTTTTCTTGTGTTGCAGGGTCATTCTAACTAATAGGTTTGTATTACTAAGTATGAAGAAGGTGACTACATAGATGATGTTGATAGCATGCCATCATTTTTATATTTATAAAAAGCAATTTTTTAAAGGTAAGAATTCTTAAGTATTATAGGATTAGCAGTAACAGGAATAGATAGTGTCTGTCATAGCTTAAGCTGAGCAAGGGAACCCATTTCTGCTTTCTTTTTACATTTGTTTAGCTTTAGCAGTAACAAAGCACTATTTGTCTAACAGATCCTCACTAGGTAAGAGGCTGCATCCAGCCTATGATATCAGCATTTTCACTTTAAAATTTATTTGATTGATAACACAGTATCCCAGATGTTGTCTGATATATCTTAGCTCAGTGACTAATATTTATTTTGAAATGCAGGGCACAATAAATCAGAAAAAATTAAGTCCATTTATTTTCTATTAAAGCTATTCAAAATAATACTTCTAATTGAATGATGACAATAGGATTGAGGGAACAAAAGAAAGATAAAATGTTCTATAATCCTTCTGACCAGGTTTGGCTGCAGATGACCTCTTGTTCTTTCTCTGATTTCTCATTGTTCCACAAGAGCCTGTACAGAACAGAACAAGAATTCTTTAGTCTCTCTCGTGCAGCATTAATAATGCCTCTTATCTCTTATGACATTGACCTATAAATAAATGGGAGTTAAAGACTACACAGCACAAGATCAAAAGTATATTTTATGTAGTGACAGCCTAACCATCAGATACATTAAAATATTGAATATATACCAATCCTAGGTCAGTAAGCAATTTCTGGTATGGAATAATAATAAAACTCTCAATATGTGAGATATGAGTGGGAATTATTGATTAGGCTCAATTAAAAATTAGTGTTCAAGACATAAATTTTTTTAGATTTATATTAAATGTCCCTCTCTATTTCTTGTACAATGGCTTGTCTTGAAGTTTATTTTATCTGATATTAATATAGCAACACTAGTTTGCTTATTATTAATGTTTGCATGGGATACATTTTAATATTTTACTTGTGATTCATTCATGTCTTTACATTTGAAGTGCATCTTATTGAAAGGAATAATTTTGTATGGTTTATCATTTTTTGTTTTCAGAGTTTGGGCTGGCAATTTGGAACAATCTGTACATTTTAATTGAACTGTACCTTCAATTTATATTTGATGTAATGCAGTTGTATTTATATTTACAATTTTCCATCCATATCTATTGATTCATTTTTTAATTTTCCCATTTTGTATTTATCATTTTTATTTTCTTGAATTGATCAACTATTTTTTTAATATTCCACTTAAGTTCCATTAATGGACTTTCTGCCATATCATTCTGTATCTATTGTATGCTTGCTGTTGGGATTATTTTATGTTTGTTTACCTCAGTATAGGGTCAATATTTTAACACTTTATGCAAAATGTATGAATTTTATAATATTTGTATTTAATTTACCTCAAATTTGTTGTACCATGGACATATATTTTGCATCTACATGTGTTAAAACATAATCATACAAGGTTACATTTTTGTATTAAATTATAACTTGTATATTAAGGTAATTAAGAGAAGAATAAAAAGTAAGTCTTTTGCATTTATTCAATGTATTTATCTAGTCTCAGCCTCTCTTTTGGTCAGCTCCATTTGGAGTCTGAAAATTTCTTATAGCAGTTTTTGTGGTACAGATCTTTTGATGATAAATTGTTTTAGCTTTCATTTTCTGAAAAGATTTTTAATTCACCTTGCTTTTTCAAAGCATTTTGACTGGATATAGAATTTTTGTTTCTTTTCTTTCATTTGTTTCCTTGTTCACTTTTCCTATAAGCACCTTAAAGATGTTGGCCCATTCCTTGTGTGCTTGCATTGATATTTTCTGATTCTTGGGAATTCGACCATTATTTGTGTCATTTCTATTTTACTCTGACTGCTTTCAAGATTTCTATTTAGTTGTCAGCAATTTAATTACAATATGTCTAGGTGTGATTCTCTTTGCATTTGGCCTGCTAAAGGGTTCCTGTACATCTCGAATCTGTGAATTTGTATTTTTCTTCTTCTTTGGGACATCTTTGCCATTACTTCCTCAAATACACATGCACGCATGCGCATGCACACACACATACACACATATAGTCCCCTGTCACATTCTCTCTTTCCTAAGAATCTAATTACACATATTCTGAACCAACTGGATACAGGCATCAAATTTACTTTTTTTTCAATCTGTTTTGCTGCCTGTGTTGTTGCCTGTACTTCATATTTTATAGTTTTTTTGATTGATTAATTGATTTTTAGAAACAAGGTCTTGCTCTGTCTCCCAACCTGGAGTGCAGCGGCATAATCATAGTTCACTGCAGCTTCTGACTCCTGGGCCCAAGTGGTTCTCCCGCGTCAGCCTTTCAAATAGCTAGAACTATAGGTATGCACCAGCACAACCAGCTAAGTTCTTTAAATTTGTGTAGAGATTAGGGTCTCACAATGCTGCCCAGACTCATCTCAAGTTCCTGGACTCAAGAGATCCTCTCTCCTCAGCTGTCCAAAGCGCTGATATTACAGGTGTGAGCCACTTCACCCAATTGTATACCTTCTATTGATTTGTCTACGATGTCGCTGAATCTTTCTTTGCCATCTTTAATCTTTTGTTAGTTACATCCAATAAATTTTTATTTTAACTTCTTAGAACTTTCATTTTGTTTTTTAGTAGTTCTATTTTTAGTTTTACTTATTAAGATTTGCTTTTCTTAAAGTGTTTGCACATATTTCAAACAACTGCTTTAAAACTCTGCCTACTAATTTCTATTTCTGATTTATCTTGGATTATTTATTTATTTATTAATTTTCCTTCAGTCATATTTTCCTAGTCCATCACATATTTAATCATTTTTATGTATTACTAGACACTTCGGATGGTATACTGTGCAGGCTCTCATCCCAGATTAGCCAAGACTTTGAGGAAAGGTTATACCTAGGTATGGATATCTTTCATTAATTTTTTGAGCTAATATGTTAAAAATAAGGTTGATTAGACTTTAAAATATGGTTTTCAAGAAATTATATTACAAGAATTTTATGAAATTTTTTCTTTAAATACAGAAAATGCCTATATAAGTGTAAGTATATATGCATATATTTGCACATATATAACCTTTATAGTAATTAATATTTTATAGCATTATGTTCAATGTTGATCATGGTAACAATACTTGAATAAAATCAATCGCTGAAATGTAATTCTTTCCCATTTTTGTATAAAATTACTTATCAGTGTAAGTAGTGCTGGGAAAACTGGATATCCATGTGTAGAAGAATAAAATTATACCCACACCTATTATCCTATACAAAAATCAACTTAAAGTAGAAGAAACACACAAATGTAAGACTCAAAGGAGTTGAACAATGAGGACACATGAACACAGAGAGGGGAATATCACACACTAGGGCCTGTCAGGGGCTGGGGGGCTAGGGGAGGAATAGCATTAGGAGAAATAGCTAATGTAGATAGCAGGTTGATGGGTGCAGTAAGCCACCATGGCACATGTATACCAATGTAACAAACCTGCACGTTCTGCACATGCACCCCATAACTTAAAGTATAATTAAAAAAAAACCTTAGAATAAAACATATGGGAAATTTTTCAGGCATTCATATAGGAAAATATTTTATAAGACTTCAAAAGCACAGACAACAAAAGCAAAAAAAGAAAAAATACGACTTTATATCAAACTAAAAAGCTTCTGCATAAAAAAGAAACAACAGAGTGAGAAGACAATTTACAGAATGGGAGAAATATTTGCAAACTATTCATTCAACGGGTGTTTAATATTCACAATATCCAATGAACTCAAACATCTCAACACTAAAAAAAAACTGATTAAAAAATGGACAAGTTATCTAAACAGACAATCTCGAAGAAAACAAAAGTGTTGTGGGCATTCTCTAAAAGACAAAAATATAAAATGCTGGAGAGGACGCAGATAAAAGGGAACCCTTATATACTAGTGGTTTGAATGTAAACTAGTACAGCCACTATGGAAAACAGTATGAAGATTCCTCAAAAAACTAAAAAAAGAATGACCATATGAGCCAGCAATTCCAACTACTGGGCATTTATCCAAATGAAAAATAAGATCAGTATGTTGAACATCTGCATCCCCATGTTCACTGCAGAACTATTCACAGTAGTGAGTTAACCTATAGGTGTCCAAAAACAGATAAATTGATGAGGAGAATGTGATCTATACACAATATCACATTGTGTGATATACACAATATCACATTGTGTGATATACACAATGGGATACTATTTGGCCATAAAAAGATTAAAAGAATGAAAATCTGTCATTCATAACAACATGGATGTAACTGGAGGGCATTATATGAGTGAAATAAGCCAGGAATAAAAAGTTAAACACTGCAGATTCTCACTCCTATGTGGAAGCTAAAAAAGTCGGTCTCACAGAAATTAAAAAGTAGAACAGAGGAAGGGTGTGGGAAGGGAGGAATAGGGAGAGATTTATTAAGGGGTATATAATTATAGCTAGATGGGGGGAAAATTTCTAGTGTTCTATACCACCGTAGGATGACTATAGTTGACAATGTGTTATACAGTTTCAGATAACTAGAAGGAGGATGTTGAATGTTCCCAACACAAAGAAACGATAAAGGTTGGAGATGCTGGCTATGCTAATTACCTGGAAAATAGTATACATCACTAACTGCTGTTAGTGGTCTAGTCACTATACAGTAATACAAAATTACTAATAGTAATTAGTTCTTCAATTAATATTAGTGATCTAATCATTTATATATATCAAAACATATATTCCATTAATATGAACAATTATTACATGTCAATTAAAAAAATTTAAATGCCACAGTACTTACTTTTCCTATAGTCTAAGGTGAAAGCATAACATTTTCTTCTACCTATAATTAGATATTAGTACTAATTCTCATAAAACCTGCTAAGCTTCCTGGGAAAGTCCCATTTAGACCTCTAAACTACAGAAACTTGAACACATTTCGGCAACCATGGTAATGTGAAGGGGTGATCCCTTCACATTTATGATATTCATTAGAATCTCTATGATTTGTGCAGATCATATTTAAAGCAGAAAAAAAGTGTTGTGGAGTTTTACTTGTTAATAAACACTATAAGCTTATTTTCCATACAAGATCTCTTTCCTATTTTTCTTCACATTTCCCTTAAATAATGTGTTTCCCCTTCTGCTGTTAAATTAATTTATGTTTATAAAAGTTAATCTACTTTCTTTTTTTTTTTTTGATTTTTTACCTCTAAAATAAGTGTGAAATTATTTTGAGTTTCTCTAAAGATTGTTTGTTATGAGATAGAGTAAGGCAAAATACGAAGAGATGAAAGAAGACAAAGCCTTTGCTTTAGAAGTAATGAGATGTCGAAACCACTGAAAGACTCAAAAGTAAAGGACTCACGGTCACTTTTTGTTCTGGTGGCTCCTATGTGTACAGAACCAGCTTAACGCTGCCCACAGGTAATCCAGAGAACATGCGTTGAAACTAATCCACTTTTATATTTTGAAAGTATTTACAATGTTCATTTTTGTTACGTTCTGGCTTAAGATAAAGAAAATAATTTTTAAAAATAAAATTTCAAGGTACCCAGAGAAGATATACTGTATTTTAAATGCCACAGAAGCAAGACATTTCAGATTTTTTTTTACAAAGTAAAGAGAGCTGTGTAACAATAACAAACACAAATAATCACAAACATTAAATAATAATAATAGTAATAAAGATAATTAGTAATCAGACTGATGTAAACAGGTGTTTTATGAAAGAAACTCCCCATCAAATTATTGATGAATAAGACAATAAAAAGCTGAAAAGTTAGGCAAATCACCAATTTCTAATGGAAATGTACCAGCTCATGAAATTAAAACAAACTAACCAACCAAAGCCAATTAATAAAGTCTATTAAGATTTGTTTCAGGCAGATGATTTCAATGATTTTTATAAACTCATGATACATATGTAATCTTTCTCACTCCCCAAATATGGAACAACTTCTAATGCTCTGATTCCTACATTCAGACATCATTCCTAGTTCTATGCACTTGACTTTATAAGCTTTTTTTGAGAAGTCTATTAGACATTAATATTTATTTATTTTATTTTGTTTTCTGTTAAAAACTTTATGGCATTAGACTCTTCATATGCTATGATAAAGTTGAGCAAATGAGAATTTGAAAATTGAATTTTGTTTAGTGTGAATTTATTTCTCATCTTGGTTATTTAAAGTATAAAATAATCAAAATTTATCTTATATATACTTTTCTAATATAGACAATCATCTTAAACAATATAAAATAACAGATATCTATAAATGGATAACATAAAATATAGACAAAGATTTCCCAAAGTACTGAATAAACTCATTCTCAATATTCATCTGAAAATTGACATTAACTTTTGCATTTTGGCCACTACTCATCTTCACACCCATTTCTGGAAATCCCTCTCATATGCTCTTTATTTCCCCTGTGGTTTGATAAGAACATAGTGAATGTAGAGCATACTTGGATTCCACGAGAATATGGTTGAATCATAAATATCTCTATAGCAGAATCCATTTAAAAACATATAAATGAGTAGTTGGTTTGGGGTATGTTCAATGTTTTATGTGAACTATTTCCCTAAATATTAATTACTTGTAGTAATGCTTTCTTGGAAAACCAAATGCTACAAATAAATATTGTAAATCAGAATTAGTGCCAATATTAGAATGTTGTATACAGTAACTATTATATATAATTTATTTTAGGTAATACAAAGTACATATGGTAATAATATATTGTAAATATTCAAAATATGCTTAGATCCCCTTATTATTATTCTCCACTATGTTTTAGAGTATTTTAAATTCATAATCTAAAAAATTAATAATCTATTTTTCTTACATCAGAAGTTTTATGAAACTTATAAATTGTAGAATAAACACTATCAGGATTTTTAACTGACTTGCTTATATTACATACGAGTGCTCTTTACTATGTCTTGGCCTGAATTATTTTATATTTTATATTTGTAGGATGTGGGATGATTTTTACTTCCATAATTGCTTTTAAAATTATTTTTTGATCTGACCTTTGATGCATTTTTACAGAAAGCATGGCAAACATAATTTGATTTGTTTCTTCAAATTGTTGATGCAAGACTAAGAACAATCAAATAATGTGGTTAATAAAAACTACAATGATTTTTAAATAATTATTTGAAATATGCATTCAACGTTTAAAAATATAATTAAAAAATTGAGTTGAGTATCTTCGCTGATACTTTTTAGAATAATAATATAATGGACTGTTTTTCATTTATTCATTTATAAATTAAGAGTACAAAATTTAGTAAGAATTTGTTGAAAATAGGTTATATGGAAAGCTTTGAGAGATATAATTTTTGGAGGTTGAAAATTACTTTAGTCACAATATTAATTCAACATAAGTAAAATTAACAATTATATTTAAAATGTGATAGTTATTTAAAAAACTCGCAATTTTAACTTATTGTGCCTTAGCAGTTACTGGTGTAAGTAATGAATTTTTTGTCAATTAAAACACATCTAGTAACATCTACTGATGAAAAGCTGCAATATTAAAGGTTCAATATAACTAAACTGTCACCTGAAAAATTTTAAAACATCTAAAATTTATTAATATCTTCTTCCTTCCAAACAGTAATGAGATTGCCAACTTTTATCAGTATTTTAGTGACATTTTGGTATTTATATTTCCTAATTTGTCATAGTTACTATTACTGTTTACAGTCAGCACTTGTTTATTATATAATCAGAATAGAGTTTCAGTATTAACCATTATATAATTTGAAGATAAATAATCTTTTGAAAAAGTCTGTGATTTCAATATGTTGGGTCTCATAAAAGTGATACTAAAAATCTAATGCTTTACAATCTTTTTCTGTCTTAGTAATCTAAACTGAAGTATCTGTAGCTAACATAGTACCAATCATGGCAACATATGTAATAAGAATATTTTCTTGGGCTTTAACTTACATATGTGTGAATTATAGAATTAGTTACAGGCAAGGGTGACTGACTCTGTCTTAAATCAGACTGCTAACATTTACAGTCACAGCCACAAGATAAAAAATACAACTAGCACTAACTGGAGCACTTCCAATAATGGCCTTTTTGAAGAGGATTTATTACTGTGGTGCTAGGGCCCTGTTCAGAAGTCCTGTTCTGGGGTGTTGTGTGCTAACCAGTGAAAATATTCATTATGTATTATATATACTGTGTGTACTTGCACTCACACTGTGTGTATGTAAATACATAGCACATGTACCTAGGAAAATATAAGAAAGATAATATAGATTTCACTCAGACCCACCATACCCTAGTCCATATATTTTAAAACTTGAATTTGTCTATTGCAAATTTTCTATTTTTGAATTAGTTAGCTCTTTCCTTGTCATTAAGGTCTAAATAGAAACAGGCAGGTGAACTGTTCTTATGACCCATTCCTTATTTGCATATTTTTTCCTGAATTAATTTAAAACTCAGCACCAATTTTTTTTTATTGAGTTATTAGTCAATATACGTTGCAATTCATTCAAAGTCTTCTAAATATAGTTCTCTCTTGCTTGGCCTCCACATCCACTTTGAACCCTGCCAACCCTGTTTTAGACTCAGGACGCTGACATAATGTGGGCTGTATCAACAGGACTCCAAGACCCTCTGACTTCTAGTTGAGTCCCACCAATGATTAGCCCCAGTAGGAAATCTAAAGGGTGAAGGAGAGATAGGTCAGGAAAATTATCCTCAGGCTCCCTCTTAGTAAGATCACAACAGTTGGTTGTGTTCCTTTACTGAAGATAACTAATCCTCAAAGCTGTATTTTTTCTTGTTCCTATAACCTCAACCTTCCTTTATTGTTTAAAAATTTCAGCTAGTGCAGGAATCTGCACTAACACTTGAATTTTCTTACACCTTATTCACACCTTTATAATTTATTCTTACATAAATAAAACCTCTTCAAATTATCTTAACTGAAATGTGCTATGTGTCTCCATTTGGTATGTGGATTGATACATTTTCAGTCATAGAATACATACTTTGTATAGTATGTACATAAGGATACATCAATGTGCTTGAAATCTAAGACAATATTAATGGAGATCTAATAACTTTGTCAAAACCGACAGTTGATAATGTGTTAACACCTACTACAATATAGTTATTTAGTTTTCAGGAGAATTCACAGGGCAAAGCACAGAATACTGTGAAAATAACTTGAACATATTACTAATAGGCAAAATTTTTTTCAAATTATTACTTAAAATTAATTACATAATTTATATTATGGAACAATTTATCAAATGTTAGAAGATCATCTTCTGTGGTCAAGATTTCTATTTAAGCCCATATAAATGCATTTAAAAACCAGTATAAAAATTAAGTACTTTTATTAATTACTGTGTTCCCTATGTTCAAAGAAATAATGAGGTTGTACTACTTCAAAATTTTTGTTTAATTGCTTTTTAAATAATAAGATTAGATTTAGATGTTATCTCAAAAGATAGATCAGCATGAAAAGAATTTTAAAAATAAGTGTTTAAAATACATTTTATTTCATCTTCATGAAATATGTCATAGTCATAATAAAATTGAATTAATAACACCTGGATGGAAAACTAAATTAAGTGCAGAAATACTGGCTATTTCAGTTGAAATTTGAGTATGTTATTTCCTTTACTTTTCATTTCGTTGTGTTTTCCAAACTGGGACCTAAGTACTAATTTATCAATTTCCCTCTCCAGTTCCACACTGTTAATCACTCAGTGTGTGAACTGTAGGTTTACAGGATCTGGGCATTTGGCTCAATTGGTGGGTATATTTCTCTAACGAAGCCAAAGATCTATGCCCAGTCCCAGTAGAAGCCACTTTGTTTCACATAGGAACAGTAACTACATAATGTATCTTTAAACTCAATACTAACTGGAAAAAATCAAACTATTCATATGCAAGCTTACTTTCATATTTTTGCTTGAGGAAATAGTCTCTACTTCATTATTAAATAAAATAATAATAATATCAATACTGATACTACTGATGAAGCATTTTAGCTTATCATTTCCTGAATACAGCACTTCATCTTAAGCTCTCTCAAGTAGAAGGTGCTCATTTTCCATATCTCACAAAATTGGGGGTCAAGGAGATTATATAGGAACCTCCACGATCCCTGCTGCTGTGATTCTATTTCCAAATTATAACTTCTCCATTTTTATGTGAAAGCATCTGTGAATTAGAGGCTCTTAGCATTGTGTTATATATCATATTCTGTTCAATTTTTAACAGTGAATTTTGAAACATTCAATTTACACAGAAAATTAAAAAACATTAAAAAGAACATGTATACAAGTTTTACTTGTATCCTATGTATTTTACCAAACTTCTGTTCAATTTCTGTGTATTTTCTCTCTCACACACACATACACACATTTGAGGGTAAATTCTAAGTGAGCTGCTCCTTTACCTGTGAATGATTTTGTATATAATTGTGTGTGTGTTTATTAAAAGGACATTCTTTCGGCCAGGAGCAGTGGCTCACTCCTGTAATCCCAGCGCTTTGGGAGGACGAGGTGGGCGGACCATGAGGTCAGGAGATGGAGACCGTCCTGGCTAACACGGTGAAACCCCGTCTCTACTAAAAATACAAAAAATTAGCTGGGCGTGGTGGCGGGTGCCCGTAGTCCCAGCTACTCGGGAGGCTGAGGCAGGAGAATGGCGTGAACCCAGGAGGCGGAGCTTGCGGTGAGCTGAGATCGCACCACTGCACTCCAGCCTGGGCGACAGAGTGAGACTCCGTCAAAAAAAAAAAAAAAAAAAAAAAAAAAGGACTTATTTCAAATAACCACAGTTTAATGACAGATATCACAAAATCACATTGATAAAGTACTATTTATATAATGCATAGATTATTTTTTAATTTTACCAGTATGTCCCACTGGCGCTCTTTTTTTTTTTTTCTAGTCTAGAATTCAATTCAGGTTGTCATCATTTGTCATTCTTTTAAGGCCTCTTTAAGATGATATAATTTTTCAATCTTTGTTTTTTCTTGACCTTGGTATTTTTACTGACATCTCCTTAACTCTTTCTCATTCATTAAATTACTGAGCACTGGCCTTACATCTGCCTTTTCCACGCTGACATCAAGCTGGGTAACTTAAACAGAACCTGACATTATCTCTAATACTATTCACCTTCTGCATATTTCAGCTCTCCTTTATCATGGCTACATCATGGCCTTAGTCAACACCCAGAAGTTTCCTCACATCTAAAATATTAATGCTGTGATTCCTTTCCTGTGTGACAACATTCTTGCTATTGACAGTGATTATCAACCACTTCTCCCAAAACTCAAATCTTTCTTGTCTTTATCCTTTTTGGATTCCTCCTGTCTTCATTTTCCTCTTTGTTCAGTAAATATTTTACAGTATATCACTCTACGTAAAGCTTTTCAGCACTTTAAGTTCCTTTATTCAATTCATTTCTGTGTCCTCACGTGACAAAACACCTATTTCAGATTAATCAAATATTTTGCAAAGTCTTGCCTCTATCATTAAAGCAGACATAATTATGACCCTGCAAGTTTATGATCTCAAAGACCAATTAGATAAACAGTACTACCAGTCGATTATTTCTATTTTTCTTTCCAAGGAAATAGAAATTGACCCTATGGGCAACCAAACGGGAAACAGAGCAATCAAAAAACTATCTCCTCTTCCTATGCATAGCACTCCTGTTTTTGAATTATCCCTACTTCCTTACCAGTGACAAACCTCACCAAGCTTTAATATTCCAGCCTCCGGATAAAGATTTTTGAGATATCCAATCACCAAATTAACATCACTTCAAATTCAGAAAATGGCCCATCTTTTGAATTACTTCTTTAATATTATAAAGTCCCTCCCAATTGCTCCATATTAAAATCTTCCTGGCTATTCCCTGGGGTGTGTTTCATCTTAAAACAAACTAAATAAACCTGACTTTGTTTCAGTAAAATTTATCCTGGATTTACTCATAAGATGCTCTCCATTTTCCAAAAGGAAATACAATAATTATTATCTGTCTTCAGATAATAATTTTCTGTTCTCAGATAATAATTTTCCCTGGCTGTGTTATAGGGAATAGGTTGCAAGGGAGTTAAACTTAAGGTAAGAAAAATGGTTCAGGCTGGGCATGGTGGCTCATGCGGGTAATCCCAACACTTTGGGAGGCCAAGGCAGGTGGATCACCTGAGATCAGGAGTTTGAGACCAGCCTGACCAATATGGTGAAACTCTGTCTCTACTAAAAATACAAAAATTAGCGGGGTGTGGTGGTCAGTGCCTGTAGTCCCAGCTACTTGGGAGGCTGAGACAGGAGAATTGCTTGAACCTGGGAGGCAGAGGTTGCAGTGAGCCAAGATCATGCTGCGAGACTCCATCTCAAAAAAAAAAGAAAGAAAGAAAAGAAAAAAAGAAAAATGGTTTACATTTTCAGGCCAGAGAATACAACAGTCGGGGTTAAGCACTAGGGTGGAGTTTCAGAGAAGTAGTCGGAATTCAAGGAAATTGAGGAGACACAGCCATGAACTTAACAGCCAGTCACTACACCCCTTCACTCCTACTACAAAGATTCGTAGGTTTGAGATAGCTTAGAAGAGAGAGGAGACAAAGTGAATGAGAGTTCCCTTTAAAGATACTGGCTTGGACATTTTGTTAACTGAGTATAGATTCTTCTTGGCTGAAAGTGATGCTATTGTACACCAAAATTGAAAGGCCAGTTGGAGAGTTCTTTCTAAAATGGTGAAGAAGAAATAATCCATAGAGTATTCAGAAAGAGAAAGAGAAAGAAAACATAAAGTTTTTTTTTCTAGGTTGTACCACATTGAATTCAGCTCATTCAGTAGGTTATTTATGCATGCCATTTTATTATTTCTGATTTTCCACTTTAAGTATTATCTACTGCCTCTTCACTGTGTATCATGATCCATGCTGGGGCAATAGAAAGGCATCATTTTCTATCACTCCATCTCCATCCACACACATAGACAACTGAAATATTCACACATTTACAAAGATTTTTTTGATGTGTTTCTGATTTTCATTGGAAAAATACCGGAAAATTATTTCAAGACTTGGATAATAAATTATTCCTCCAGAATGCATAGGGGTTTACATCTTTCAGTTAGTCAACTGGGCAACTATTAGTCCATGACCATTTTAAATAAATTCATGGCTTGATGTTTTTAGTTTTATTTGTTTTGTTTTTTTGCATAGTGCAGATAATATGAATTTGTGCTGCAAATCCACATGATGGCATGTTTATGATGATAACTTCGCATGGATAATTATTTTAATTCCTTGACTGTGTGATAGTATTTTCACTGCAGTCAGCTAAGGTTGTGAGGTCAAATTTGTTTGCTTCCAGAAGGGATAAACCCATGGGATCCCTGCTATAAAGGATTTGTCTCCTATTTAACTCTCCCTTTGGTTTTGGGCTTTGCCTTTTATTCCCAGCAGCCTAAAAAGGAAACTAAAGCCCAAACCTGGTTCTGTAAATGACCCCAAAGCAAATGATCTCTGGTTCTCTGCTTATCTCTGTGGGTTCTCATTTTCTCTAAGACTTTAGCTGAGTAATAGCTGAGTAAATAACTATCATGCAAAGTTTTTAATGTCTTTACTGAGAAATATATATATTTCTTCTTAAAGTAATTTAACTTGCTTTTTTTACCCTAGTATATCTGGCTAAGTATGCTTTTAAAAACATCCCGGGGCCTGTTGTGGGGTGGGGGGAGGGGAAGGGATAGCATTAGGAGATATACCTAATGTAAATGACGAGTTAATGGGTGCAGCACACCAACATGGCACATGTATACATATGTAACAAACCTGCACATTGTGCACATGTACCCTAGAACTTAAAGTATAATAAAAAAATAAATAAATGAAAATTTAAAAATGCATGAAGACATACCTAGACAGCTACAAATTAGAAAGAAAAACTCCAATAACACACTGATATTATTTTGTGATAAATGAGATTTAGTGTACAATACATGGTTCAATATCCACTTTCCAGAAAGTATAATGCACAAATGTTCTGAAAATTGTATTTAATAGGTATGTATGTATATATGCATATGTATGGATGCATCTGTGTATACATATGCAAAAGTGTACACATACATAGCAGTGGTAACTTCAACTTATAAAAAAAAAACTTGCCAAAATTACTATTCTTAATACTTATTATGCATGATAATACACTGAAACAGACACTGAAATAAAAATGTTGATCATAAATTATAAGCAAATCTTTTCAGAGATCCATAGTATTTTATATAACAGCTGTATTTTAAATGAATGTTTCTTGAATTAGGATTTAGGGTGTTTACTTTGTAACAATTTCATTTTTTTTCCTTGCCAATGTTGAGAAATAATAGATTTTTATTGCTACAATTACTCATAAGAATAAATCATGATATATTCATTGGGATGACATTTAGAAATGTCTCATATAACCCTACTTTTAAAGATTTCTTTTATTATTAGAAGAAATTCTCTCTTTAGAATGTAATGGCCCATGAACACAGTCAATCCACTAAATTTATTCTAGAAAACACAGGAGAGTTGAATCTCCACATGACTAGAAACTGAATGTATAGGTGCTTTTAGCAAGGATTCAGGATCAATCATATGGGGCTAGCTTCAAAGGAACTGCATAAACATGAAACAAAAGTCACTCTGTTTGCAGTATTAGTCACAAACCACTTGTTTATTTGTTCAGTTTATTTCACAGTGAACATTTATTTCTTTTGCAATTTTCATCATATTTCAAACTCTTTTCCTCAGTAAAAGTTATCTGTCCATAAGTAAAATCTATCTTCTATATTTCTGGGCTTTAAAGTGTAATAGAGAAACTACTGAGAAATTGAACTCCTTTGGATGTTTATCTGTCAATGCCAAAATTAATCCTAAAGGTTGTTTTCCCAGTAGGTACAAATTCTTTATTTATTTAGGTTACACAATTTAAAAAATACAATAGTCTAGCTTTAGTGCTTATTTCACTTAGAATTTTTTTAAAAATGTGCTAACTGGTAAATCCAGTTGTTTATCAATAGGTCTCAGGAACATACCTTCTCTTCAAAAATAACAAAGTTAAAAAGGAGGGATAAACAGAAAAAGTAAAGAAGAAAGGGAGATGAAAAAGAAAAAGGAAAAGGCAAAAAGGCTTCACTTCTGGGACAATGAATTCATGATATTATGAAAAGTTATTTGAAAATTATGACCACCACAAAATATATTTTTGTATTACCATGATAAAATTTGAGGACTATATTAGAAAATTAAAGTGTGGTACAATTTGTTGAATACTTGAGTTTAAAAACTTACAATGTACTCACAGATTCAGCACTAACATATGAAAAGTAGGGAGATGAGGCAAATTTGAAATTGCTTCCCATCTCAAAATGTGTAGCAGAGGATATTTCTATATGAAGCCAACACTAAGTAAAAATGAGTTTACATACAAAGCCCCTAAAAACTCTTTTCAGGTTCATCCCTTTTTACCCTTTGGCCAATAGCTAAATATATTCCATTACCATGAAACTGGTTTTCCATTTCCCCTTTGAAGCATGTTTCCATCATGCTTTTGTGCATTATTGTAAGCATATTTATCTGCAGTTTTTCTGGATGGTGAGGATATTTGATATAGAGGAAAAAATAAATATTGACTGAAACGATGGAGAAGTGATAAGATTTCCAAAGGAGCTTTTCTAATCTTGAACGATTAGTTCATCATGTAGAGAAATTCGAAACAAAATATTCAAAGTGGAGAAAAATTATCCTCAGGGCTATATTTCTTTTTTAACAATTTATTTTATTTTATTTTTTTAAGTTCTGGGGTACATGTGCAGGATGTGCAGGTTTGGGACATAGGTAAAGGTGTGTCATGGTGGTTTTCTGCACCTATCAACCCATCACCTAGGTGTTAAGCCCAGCATGCATTAGCTCTTTTCCCTAATGCTCTCCCACACGCCCCACCCTCCCCCAACAGATGTCAGTGAGTGTTGTTTCCCTCCTTGTGTCCATGTGTTCTCATTGTTCAGGTCCCACTTATAAGCGAGAACATTTGATGTTTGGTTTTCTGTTCCTGCACTAGTTTGCTAAGGATAATGGCTTCCAGCTTCATCCATGTCCCTGACATGATCTCATTATTTTTCATGGCTCTGTAGAATTCCGTGATCTATACATACCACATTCTCTTTAGCCAGTCTATCATTACTGGACATTTGGGTTGATTCCATGTCTTTGCTGTTGTGAATAGTGCTGCAATGAACATACATATGCATGTTTCTTTATAATAGAATAATTTATATTATTTTGGGTATATACCCAATAATGGAATTGCTGGGTCAAATGGTATTTCTGGTTCTAGATCCTTGAGGAATCACCTCACTGTCTTCCACAATGGTTGAACTAATTTATAGTCCCACCAACAGTGTAACAGCATTCTTATTTCTCCACAACCTCTCCAGCATCTATTGTTTCTTGACTTTTTAATAATCACCATTCTGGCTGGCATGAAATGATAGCTTATTGTAGTTTTGGTTTGCATTTCTCAAAGATCAGTGATGTTGAGCTTTTTCATATGTTTAGCCACATGTGTCTTTTATTGAGAAGTATCTGCTCATACACTTGGCACAGTTTTTCCCCTTGAAAACTAGGACAAGACAAGAATGTCCTCTCTCACCACTCTTATTCAACCTGGTGTTGGAAGTTCTGGCCACAGCAATCAGGCAAGAGAAAGAAATAAAGGGTATTCAGATAGGATGTGAGGAAGTCAAATTGTCTTTGTTTACAGATGACATAATCCTATATCTAGAAAACCCAAATCCATTGAGCCCCAAAATTTGTTAAGCTGATAAGCAACTTCAGGAAAGTCTCAGGATACAACATCAATGTGCAGAAATCACACACATTCTACATACCAAAAACAGACAAGCAGAGATCCAAATCATGAATAAACTCCCATTCACAATTGCCACAAAGAGAATAAAATACCTAGGAATATAACTAACAAGAGAAATGAAGAACACTTCAAAGAGAACTGCAAAACACTTCTCAAGGAAATCAGAGAGGACACCAGCAGATGGAGAAACATTTCATGCTTATGGATAGGACGAATCAATATCGTGAAAATGGCCATACAGCACAAAGCAATTTATAGGTTCAATCCTATTCCTATTAAACTACCATTTACATTCTTTGCAGAATTAGAAAAAAAGCCTATTTTAAAATTCATATGGAACCAAAAAGGAGCTTGTATAGCCAAGACAATTTTAAGCAAAAAGAACAAAGCTAGAGACATCATGTTATCCAACTTGAAACTATACTACAATGCTACAGTAACCAAAACAGCATGGTACTGGTACAAAAACAGGCCCATAGACCAATGGAACAGAATAGAAAACTCAGAAATAAAACCACACACCTACCACCATCTGATTTTTGACAAATCTGACAAAAACAAGTAACGGAGGAAGGTTTCCCTATTCAATAAATGGTGCTGGAAGAACTGGCTAGCCATATGCAGAAAATTGAAACTGGATCCCTTCCTTATATGTTATACAAAAATTAACTCAAAATAGATTAAAGACTTAAACTTAAAACTCAAAACTATAAAAACTGTAGAAGAAAATCTAGGCAATACCATTCAAGACCTAGGCATGGGCAAAGATTTTATGATAAAATCACCAAAAACAATTGCAACAAAATTAGAAATTAACAAATAGGATCTAATTAAACTAAAAAGCTTCTGCACAACAGAAGAAACTATCATCAAAGTGAACAGGCAACCTACAGAAAAGGAGAAAAATTTTGCAATTTATCCATCTGACAAAGCTCTAACATCCAGAAACTACAGGGAACTCAAGCAAATTTTCAAGAGGCCATACTTTCTACTCTTCTTTGAAAAAGATCAGGCACTGTTCTTTTTTAGGGATTTTAGATTTTATGTACCCTCTAACTGGAGTTGCAAATAACTTCATTTCCTCTTGAATAACTCCTTCAAGTATTTTCTTAAATGTTTTCTAGTAAGGGCACTTGTCAAAAATTGTAAACTTCTATTCCAACATTCTTTATTTTGCTTCTTTATTTTTTCTTCCCAAATATATTACCATTAATACATAATTTATTTTTTAATTTATTTTTCTATTTGTCTTCTATTTCTGGAAGGCAAGTTTTTAAGCATTTCTCTCTTTCTCTCTCTTGCTCTCTTTCTCTAACGGCCCTAATCACAGTATCTGGAAAAGAACCTAAGCCCTCAAATAAATCTAGCATACAAATGAATAAATTGGCTTAGATAAATATGAAAGATAGAAAACTCTGAATTAGTTTTAATTATTGACATTATTGTTGCATTTGTATCACTCAGGATAAGCTAGGTTTTACTGCATTCGCAAACAAACCCTGAATTAATTAGCATAAAATAATTATCATATGCCCACAATAAATACTCAAAACAAGTCTATGGGAAGTTCTGCCATTATAGACGGAAACTTAGACTGACAGAGGATGAACTTGAGCTTTTTTTAAGTGTTTCACCCCCAAATAAAGGGCCAGTTGGTGTACCTTGTACTCTATACTATAAAGAAAGAGGCACACTTCTTTATTGGCCACATTTGATAATAGAAGTGACACAACAACTTCTGCATGTGCTGTGTCGTCTGCCTGGAATGTCATTCTCCCAGAATAATCCATTTACCAAGTGGCTTTTTAAGCTTTCAGCTCTCAATGGCGGGCAAAGAAAGAGAAGGCTTCCTATCAAGTATGAGCAAAAGTGTCAGCTCTTCTGCTTCTTTGGCCAAATGATCTAGTGTATCTTATACAATTTCAAGTTTCCTTGGCAGATAAGAAAGCTTTATGGAAACTGTCAATTACTGATGGAAATATCATGGCACAGACACTTACTGCTATGAGAAAGCTTTGGAGAAGACTATGTGCTTTTCTTGAGAAAACTATTCCACCTTTTAAAGACAGAAATCAGCTTATGACTGGGTCCCTATGGAGACAGAATACTTTATTGTGGGATACAAAACTTATGAACCTGAGCTACTTAACCTCTGTGTATATAATCCCTAGATTACACCAAGTGTATGGCATGTAGCAGAATCCTGTCTTTAGAAGACAATTGGATTCCTAATGATCCTGAAGGAACCAGTATTTGCTTAAGTAAGTGGTTATTGTTCCTATAAACCTACTGCTTCTATTCTTTTTCTTTTTAGCTATCTCTTATGATCTCATAGAGTTCCCTCTCAGCAGCTTAATAAAGAAACAAAAACAAAACAAATATATGTTTGTATATGTTAAGCGATTCCTCTCCTTTCTTTATGCTATCATTTTACATGATTTTATCTGGGATAGTTAACTTTGCATTTGAGTCTTTATACAAGTTATCAAAGGACATTGGTACTAAGTTTAGTAAGTTTAAATGACATCTAGATAAGCATAAAGAGACTAATGGGACTGCTTGCCTATAATATCATAGAGATGATAAGCAAGTTTTAATTTGTACTATAGTGGTTGATAGTATTAAGTAGAAGACTGATAGAGTAGTTGATGTTTAACAGCTCTAATATAGATAGAAGTTTGTATAGGTTAAAAGTGGAACAAACACGTAAAACGTTGGAGACTCAGTATCATTTCTGTAACCTTTTACCTTCTCTCCTATGTCATATGGAAAGAAGTTTGAAAATGAATTTCCCTAAATCTCTTCACAATATATCTATAGAATAGAAGGTGACAATTAAAAATCTAAAAGATGAGAGAGAAAGAAATCTCATTTTCTGGCAATAGCTGCATATAGGTAGTTGAATTTCTAAACTGTGGCTTCCAGATGTTGTGGGATTAATCCATTTTGGTGCCTTAGGTATATGGGATTATTTGTAACAGTTCCCTTGCAATTATTATGGAATATCTTTTGCCAAAGAAGAATTAAGATGAGTGCAGTTTATACAGGATATGTTAAATAATTACCATGTAAAAAAATAATAAATGAAGATACATGTTTAGTTAAATGAGTAGAAAAAAACAATTTGCACCCTAGTATTAAAACTAAGAGAAAACAATAATGTTTTACTCATTTAAACATACCTTTGCAATAGGTTAAAACTAGAGTTTATTCTAATGTTTGTAAACATAAAAATACAATTGACAAATCTGTTAATTAGGCTAAAGACCATAGTACTATTATTCAAGATAATTGTAAGGTAACTAAAATCCCATAGATTCAACAGAACTGACAAAGTAAAATAAAATGAAAGAGTGGTTTGAGTCTTGAGTACAGCTAAGGTAGGGAACTTATGAAGTGTGTAGTTCAAACATTTTAGTTAATTTCATGAACATTCTTTGTTTCAAAAAAAATTATAATTTTTTTGAAAAAAATTATAAAATTATAAAGAAATGGCTTATAGTAAAAAAATCACATAAACTTATGCAATTGAAGAGCTTCTCCCTACTTGTTGACTCTATATATTAACTGGCATCTGTATAAAAGTATAAATTTATACATCAATACATATGCATGTATATGTCTGTGTCTTTATGTATCTGCTCTGTGTACACTCATTAAAAAATTAAATCTCAATTTATTAGTAATTTAGAAACTTTCGTTGTTTTTGTCTTAATTTAAAAGAAGATATTTTAATTTCATTTTTCTTTTTAAATATATATGTATAAAACAAGTAAATGCATAGCATGCTGTATTAACAACATATTTACTTGAAAAAATAACTTTGAAATTGTAAAAGCTATATAAAAATAATGCTGTGCAATCTTTAAGTATGCCTTTTTAAAAAGCACTTAGTAAAATAATAATAATTAACTATGTAATCTAAAGATGAGACATGTTATAAACATCATTTGAATATATAATTAAGAATATAAAAAAGTAATAAAAATAGCACAAAAATAGATTCCACTATGCCTAAGCCTCATCCTCCTTTCTGCAGATGGTCTGTTGAGGAAAACATCTCTGGGAAACTAGCCATTAATGGAATCAGTGGAAGTCGACAGTTAAACATTAGCTGGAGGATTTAAAAATTACTTGTGTCTGCTTGGCAAGTACACTATAACTGATGTTATAAACCCAATGATACAAAAAGTCTTGCTTGAGTGGAAGGGAGGCATTCAAGGACCAATGGGATTCTCAACTTATTTAGGTGGTATCACTGGTGATGATGTATCTTCATAAGAATTGAACAGAAAAAGATGCTCTTTTAACCAACAAGATAAATGTATTTGTTTGTTAAGCTTTTTTTCCGCAACCATTTTTATGCAATTAAGTTATTTATACTTTAAAATTGTAAAATTATTTAATCTCTCCATGCATTAGTTCCATCTTCTGTGAAATAGGGCAATAATTTTGTCAAACTCATAGAGTGCTTTTTGGATTAAATGATATAATACAGGTGGAGCATTTAGAAAAAGTACCTAGAAACTCAGCATTAGTAAATACTACTGTAATCAATATTTTATATATATATATTTATGTAATATATTGTATAATATATAATTTTATAAATAATAAAATTAAATTATATTGGGAACTTGTGTCTCATAAGACTGTCTATTGTTAATCTTCCACCTTCTACAATCTCCCAAATGAGAATAATCAAATAAAACTCAAATAAATCAAATAAAACCATAAATAAACTTTAAAAAAATGCAACTGATTTTTAACAAAGGTGCATAGTCATTTCAGTAGACAAAGGAAAGTCTCTTTAATAAACAGTGCTACAATATTTAGTTACACGTATGCAAATAGTTAAGCTTCAATCTATAACTTGTAAAATGTACAAAAATCAAAGCAAATTGTTCATAAATCTAAATGTAAAATCTAACTCTATGAAACTTTTAGAAGAAAGCATAATGAGAAAATCTCCATGAATTTAACATAGACAAAATCTCAAGATACAACACCAAAGCATGATTTATTGGAAAAATACGATAAATGTCACTTCATCAAAAGTAGGCAATTTTGCTCTTTGGCAGAAACTGAAAGAATGAAAAGGCAAGTCATAGAGTGGGAAAAAAATGCAGTACAAATATGGGATTTAAAAAACCACAAAACCAAAAGCCTGGTATCTAGCACATATAGAGAACTCAATAATAGTGATACCACAACCCAGTTTTTCAAAGTTTACAAAACATGTGAGCATACAATGCATTTAGTAAATAAGCACATCTATAGATATTCAACGTTAGTAATCATTATGGAAATGTAAATTGAATTCACACTGAAAAGCATTAGAACTCTATTAAAATATCCAAATTTAAAAGATTCATAATAGAAAGTGCTGCTGCTGATGAGGTACCACTGGAACCGTTATAACTTGCAGGTTGAACGTGAAAGGGAACTACCACTTTAAAAAATAATTTAGCAGATCCTTAAATAGATAAATATATCCCTGCCACATAACCCAGCCATTCCTCTATTCGTTTGTCAGTTCTAGAGAAATAAAAGCATACATCTATACTAAGATTTTTACACAAATGTTTATAACAGCTTCATCTATAAGAGCTTCAAACTGGAAATAACCCAATTGTTGAGCAATATACACTGCAATATTAAAACGAATGGTGCTTGGCAACAATGGAAAAATATTAACAGTTGATACATGGATAATCATGGATGGATATTAAAATAATTATGCTGGATAAAATAAGCAGAAAAAAGGGTACAGGCCCGAGGGTGGAATCCTCACCAGAAACCCCGCCCTTCTCCTCCTAGCACTTCCCTGCCCCACGCCTGCATCAATGGCATGAGTTTACCTATATAACAAATTTGTACATGTAGCCTTGAACCTAAAACAAACATTAAAATAAAAAAAGCAGAATTACCATTAGATCCAAAAATCCCACTATGGGGTATCTATCCAAAGAAATATAAATTGTTTCTCCAAAAAGACACACGCACTCATATGTTCACTGCAGCACGATTCACAATGCCAAAAACATGGAATCAATCTAGGTGCCCATTAATGGTGGATTGGATTTTAAAAATTTGGCACATATACACCATGGCATACTATGCAGCTTTAAAATCAGATTTTTTTTTCAGTAATATGGATGCTGCTGGAGCCCATTAATTTTAAGCAAGTTAATACAGTAACAGAAAAACAAATACCACGTTCTTATAAGTAGGAGCTAAACATTGGGTACACACAGACACAAAGGTGAGAACATTGGGGACTACTAGAAGAGGGAGAGAGAAAGTGGAGAGAGGACTGAAAAACTACCTCTTGGGTGCTATTTTCAGTACCCGAGTGACAGAATTAATCATACCCCAAACCTCAGCATCATGCAAAATACTCATGTAACAATCCAGGACATGTACCCTCTGAATCTAAAATAAAAGCTGAAATTATTTTTAAAAATTGGAAGCACAAATAAAGTAAGTTACTTTGATAAGGTCTCACAGCTCACAAGTGGCAAGGCAAAGATTTGTCTGTCTCCTTGCAAAACACACCTGAAAACTGCAAAGTACTAATAACTGTTTTATTATAGTTTTGAAGGATGTTTTGTTATTTGTAATGTTTTCACTTGGAAATTGTAATAATATTTTACTTTAGAAATGTATATATGTAGAATTTCTTATGTACTGTCATTTTGATTCTAGTAGAAATCATGCCTGCTATGACCCCTCTGTTTTGGAACTGAGACAATGAAACAGAGAGATGGGAAAATTCACTTTCTCTCTAAAAGCCATCTCACATGCCAATGTAATTGATCAGATGACACTTCAATATCCAGCTTTAGTGCAACCAATACAATAAATTCAATCAATATGTTTTATTGATGTGAAAATCGGAGAATTACATGTTTCAACTCCCAAAACAAGTTTCTAGGGAAAGACAATGGAAGAGACAAAAATAAGGACCCAAGAGGGACATATAGCCTCTGACACGTACAGCTACAGCAAACGGTGAGCACAGCATAATCTCTAGCCAGATAAACATAAAACCTCCTTAAAGGCCTACTGACTTCTCTTCCTTTCACCCACTAAATCATATCCAGTTTTCAACAAAAGCTTACAAGGCATACTAAAAGACAAAAAAAAAAAAAAAAGAACACATTTTGAAGAGACACAGAAAGCGTCAGAACCAAGACTGTGACATGAAAGATGTTATTATTATCAATCCTGACTTTGAACATAACTATAATTAATATGCTAAGGACTCTAATAGAAAAAGTAGACATCATGCAAGAACAGATGGATAATGAATGCAAAGAGATGGAAACTCTAAAAAAATGAAGAAAATGCTATAAATAAAAAACACTGTAACAGAAACAAAAAATTATAATTACTACTTCAGTTACAAAAATAGCAGGCTTTGTTTGAAGCCTTTTGTGTGAAAGTTTGTGAATGTCTGTGAACTTAATACTTCTAAATATCACTTGGATTTTGGAAGAAAATTAAAATTAAGAGTTCTAGAGATTTTAATATTTTTTTATTTGCTTATAAGTCATAAAGTGACAAGTTAACATTATTTCTCTTCACACATGTATGTACTTATTTTCTATGGGAAGTGTTAATAGTTTGATTTAGTTCTAACTTTGATTCAAAGCCTTTATCTGGCCCTGTGAGCACATGAAAAAGGTCTCCATGCCAAAGTTGTGATTAACTTTATAGATTCAGGGGAATTATGGAAATGCATCATGCAAAATGCCTACTTGCCAAAATTATTCCATGACCTTGTGCTTAGGCTGAGTTTTAAATAATTCAGTGATGTATTGAATGAATAAATTTGTATTGCTTGTTACTCTAAACAGTCATGCATTCACTTTTCCTTGCCATTTTTAATAAAGCCTAGTTTTCTAATATTCATGAAATATTGCATTTCAATTAAATTACATAGGTTTTGAAAAAATAGTTTGCCCTAAGCTGTTTAATGTTGACACCAACTGTCATTTACTTTTTCTTTGGTATAATGCTCAAGGAGTCTTTGAGTACAACTAATGCAAAATACTGTCACTTTTTTTTTTTTTTTTTTTTTTTTTTGAGACGGAGTCTCGCTCTGTCGCCCAGACTGGAGTGCAGTGGCGGGATCTCGGCTCACTGCAAGCTCTGCCTCCCGGGTTCACGCCATTCTCCTGCCTCAGCCTCCCAAGTAGCTGGGACTACAGGCGCCCGCCACTACGCCCGGCTAATTTTTTGTATTTTTAGTAGAGACGGGGTTTCACCGTTTTAGCCAGGATGGTCTCGATCTCCTGACCTCGTGATCCGCCCGCCTCGGCCTCCCAAAGTGCTGGGATTACAGGCGTGAGCCACCGCGCCCGGCCAATACTGTCACTTTTTAATGAGATACTTTTTGATCATGTATAACAGAACACTGTTGGAGGAACTGGATAATAAATACAAACTATTTTGTGTATGGGGTATATGATGTATTAAAATATCCAGAAAATTTCAACTTAAACTTTTGCTAATTTATTGGAAATTATAAGTGTATACTATCCCAAGTCGTCTTAATTTCAAGTGTATGCACATAATACATTATTCTCAAACTTTTCATTTTTCTCTCATTCACATTACACATCTTCATAACACAAAAATAACTGGACAAGACCAAGTGGCTTTTTGGATTATTAGACTTATTTGCTTTTTAAAACCATGCACTGTCATGTAGCTGTTACATTTTACTAACCTGTTGAATTTGTCCTATATTTAATGATATTTATGCCTCAAATAATTTTGATGTTCTCAGGTTATTTCTTAGTGAATCAGAACAGTAGTTCTTTAATTGAAAAAAAACTTTCTATGATTAGAAACAGCAGCAATAATAATTCTAGTTATTATATGTTGTACTTTACAGGTATTATCCTATATTTAATTATAATACATATACTTAATGAACTGGACCTTGCATATCAGCATACTTTTATCCAACTTTAGGCATAGTAAAACTATAACAGCCATCCCATTAAACAAAAGAAATATAAAATTGAAATGTGTGATGTTTTACACGTGAAAAACCATGAATTATCAGCATCTACATACTAATACGCACTTTGCACATGTCTTTTTAAAAAATGTATATACCATTGATTTTGGTAGCTTTGAATCATTTCACATTAAAATTATTGGCATTTTCATAACAAAACATCCCTTTTAGGTATCCTCCCATTCACCTTAGCTCTCTTATTTTATAAAGGCAGGTGATTTCAGGCAGCTGGGATTTGATGCCACAAAAGAATTTTAAATGTATTCCGTTGCAGAGGGCTTAGAAAAAGACACAGTCAGAGTCTGTCATGAGGATTTTGTAAAGCATTTTCATTTTTATAAAAATCAAGGAAATACAATCCTATTCATTTATTCTCTTTAATTCACTCGATCTACACTGTAGCAGCCATTAGTGTAGCAGCATCAGAAAAGGGTAACTTCAGATAGCCCAAACTGCCACACACTCACTCATTTCTTTTGTGTAGATAATTATTAAAATAACATATATTATATTAATATAGCCAAATATAGTGTAAAATAAAATCACATCTGTATAAGGATTTTAGATTTATTAAAGTTGATCTCATTAACATACTTTGACATTTCCCTCAGCCCCTATGCAAAAAGACTCATTTTATCTCTAGCCACATACATGAGCAGACTTCTAAGGTAATCCCTGAGACTCCTGCCCTGTTATACATGCCCTGTATGTATAAATTTGTATACATACCTTGTACGTGTTAAATTTCCTCTTTTTGAATATGGGGGAAGCTGTTAATATAATATGATAGCACCTCCCTTGATCGTCCCTTCATATGGCAAAAATGATGATATAGTCACCCCCATGATAATGCCACAAAGACTCCTGTTTATTACACTGGATAGCAGAGACACTCTTCTGCTGTCTTTGAAAAAGTAAACTGTCATGTTGTGAGAGAGCCAAGTAGCTACGATCTAAGGGTGGCCTCTGGGGCCTGTGAGTAACCCCCAGAAGACAATCAGAAAACAATAAAGACCTCAAGCTGCAACCACAATTAATGAGTTCTGCCGACCACTCGAGTGAGCTCGAGGAACCCAAACCTTAGAAAAGACTGCAGCTTCAGCGAACACTTCTATATCCGTCTTTTGAGCAAAGAACACAGGTAACCCAAGTTAGGTTTTCTTACCTACTGGAACAGTGAGATAAATGTGTGTTGTTTTTAAGTGCTGAGTTTGTACTGATTTGTTATGCTACAATAGAGAATGAGCACAACATACAAGGGTTTCAAATTTGAACAGGTATCAAAAAATCATAACAAATATTTCAAAGTGTCTTTCAAGATATAACAATATTTATCTTTGCTTTAATGTATTGGAAGTTATAGATGTAAATTCTAAATAAAATACATTAGAAAATATTACAGCCCAGGATATTTATATACATATATGAGTGTGTGTGTGAATGTCTGTGTAAAATGACACATATGCTTCCCTACATATATTCATGTTTACACATACACACACACAGACATATCACAAATATTCATCGCTAAATGATGTAAGGAGATATATTGCCCTAAATAAAGTGAAAGTTTAAAGTTAACCAATGTTTTATATCTTTATCAGAATTAAGGGAGAATGCCTGCAGCAGAAAAGATGAAAGAATTGTGTACATTAGAGGTTTATTACCATTTTCTACTGCAGAAAATCAATGTTGCTGATAATGTACCTTTACATTTTCAGCGTAAATAAATATGAATATAAAATATTTAATTGAAAAAATAAAATTATGTTTCAAGTGATGCGATTTTTAATTTAAACCTTAAAAGTCATTTTAAATGTTAAATAATTTTATTGCATTACATTCTAAAAAGCAGATACAAACTTGAATCATTTTGAATCATTTGTAAATTGAATAAGAATAAAAAGTTTAATGCATCAAAGTCAGTGTATAAAATAATAGATTAGCACCATCCTCTTCGTGCTGATCTGGTGATAGAGACTGAGTTCTCATGAAATCTGGCTACTTAAAATGTATGACACCTCTCTCCTTTTGCTACTGTTTTTTGCCATGTAAAGTGCCTGCTCTACTTTGCCTTCTGCCATGATGGTAAGATTCCTGAGGCCTCCCCAGAAGCAGATGCTGGCACTGTCCTCCCTCTATAGCATGAAGAACTGGAGCCAATTAAATTTTTTTTTTTTTTTTTTTTTTTGAGACGGAGTCTCGCTCTGTCGCCCAGACTGGAGTGCAGTGGCGCGATCTCGGCTCACTGCAAGCTCCGCCTCCCGGGTTCACGCCATTCTCCTGCCTCAGCCTCCCAAGTAGCTGGGACTACAGGCGCCTGCCACTACGCCCGGCTAATTTTTTGTATTTTTAGTAGAGACGGGGTTTCATCGTTTTAGCCGGGATGGTCTCGATCTCCTGACCTCGTGATCCGCCCGCCTCGGCCTCCCAAAGTGCTGGGATTACAGGCGTGAGCCATCGCGCCCGGCCCAATTAAACTTTTTATAAATTATTCAGTTTCAGGTATTTCTTTATAGCAATGCAAGCGTGGCATAATACAGAGACATCATGTATGCTGAATTCGAATTTGTATTTGTAATACAATGTGGCGTTTATGTATTACCAATATCATTGATTCATATATTCTAATTTAAAAATAATAGCAAAATCTTCTGTTAGTGTTAGGATAACTATAATATCATTCTATTTATGAGCTAATAGAAATTCATCTAAGATATTGCTTACATTGCATTTAGAGATACTGAGAAGAAAATAAAACTTAACTTTGGTTTATAAATACTGAAGTTTGTGCCATAGTCTAGCATTAGGTGAATACTAGAGTATTAGATTTACTCTATAAATGGGCTAAAATTTAAAAATCTGAAAATATATTTGGAGATATTAATTGTAAACTTACATTGGTTATTCTTAATGGAATCACTGCCTATTAGGAGAGATTCTGACATTAATTATTCCTTTAATAAACTATATATTTGACAGCAGAGCATAAAGAAATTTAAAATAAATAAAGGGTCTAAAACTGATTAAATATAAGATTATGTAGAAAAAGTGAAGCTTTAAGATGAACCCTATGTAAAATCACTAATCCTACCTTTCGGCCTAACTTTTGATTTTTGGTTACTAAATATAAGCCAATATTCAACTCCAAAGCAATCTGGAATAATTATAAAGTTAAGCACTTTATCGCTTAACATTTGAATTTTCAAAGGAAATAACATAATTTCTGAAGGTGGTTGTAGTTATGTTGTTCTTGTTGAAATACATGATGATTTCTTATTATTAATTTTACCTGTATTGCATCATTTGACATTGTAGTTTTGGGAGGTTTTGCATAATATTTTAATGTTTAATGTTACTAAATATCTCCTTACCAGTATGCCTTGACATCAAGCAATGGTGAGCCTAAGGCTCAAATCTAGACAGTTCTTATTTTTGATGTTTGTATTTTCTTTAGAAGAACCTTATAGGTTTTTAACTAACTTGTTTAAGAAAACTCAAAATTTGTACACTTTCTAAAATATATATTTTGTTGTTATTACTATTTAATTATATACATTTGTAAAAATTTATTTAATTTAAATTTATATTTATGGGTACATTTAATTTTGATTGGTATGTTTGCATGGATAGTAAATCATTCTAATCAGTCTCTGATAAATTTGAAATGCATTTCTTAATTACTACTCTTGGGAAATTTGTTGATATCCTCATCATTCCAGTTTTACATGCAATGAATTAGACACTAGGGAGAACCCGATATTTTTCTATTCCATGTGAATATTGTTCCAATAGCTTTTTCAACACCTGTTTTGTATTTTGTTATTGTCACTGTATTTTAATTAATAAAATTAATGCTAACATTTCATAATATTAATTTATGTAGCATTTAAAGGTACTTTCATCTTTCACCTGGAATTTCCAAACACTACATATTCATATCATAACTGATATTCATGGTTAACTTCTAAAGCAATTAAAAAACATTTTGTGACAGGGCCTATTCTTCAGTTGCCTGAATGTATACAAATATTATTTCTTAAAATTTTAAACTTTATAGAGCATACATTGAATCACATACATTGAATCACAATTATATACTCATTGTACAAATCAGTATTTTTCTTTACAGTTAATACTATTAATTTTCCCTACCAGATCTGTGGTTATAGTAAAACCTTCCTAACAGCATATATAAGAGATGTCTAAATGGAACTGTAAAATTTATTTGGGAGTAGTAAATGTCATTTTTTTCAAAATTATTTTTATAATAACATGGTAAGAATATTGGAGCTACATTTCGTGTTTTTTGGAGGTTATATATGATCTTTACTGAATACATATATAAATAATGATAATATAAGCTGTGCATCTCAGTAGTTAAGTATATTACAGCAATATATATTTTACTAATAAAGACATTGCTTATTAGCGTAAATAAGGAATAAAATCATTTATTAGGACTTCATAAAGTGTAATGATAAAAAAATGCTCTCATTATTTTTCAAAAAACCTTTTTTTCATTAATGGAAAACAAATATTGTGACCAAAGTACATAATGCTACATATTTATAGTACATGTTAGTAGTATTTTAGTGTCAATTATTTATTTAAGAAAAGAATTATCAGTTAAAAGTTTCAGAAAGTAAGTACAGAAAAATGACAAACCCCACGTTAGAAGCTGAGATGTGTGAGAATAACTTTCTCTCAACTTAGCACCTTCAGCCTATGCTCATATTTCTTATTCTTCTTTGTGTTTACATTAGCATATTTAAACACAGACCATCTACTGTGTCAAATATACAATGATGACAGTGACAGCTTGAAACTATAGAATATTAGTATAAAATTACAGCAAGTTACCAAATAAGAACACAACAGAGAAATTAAATAGAGGTAACTACCAGTCTTCAGTTTATCTTTTTCCCCCAAATCCTGAGAATCTCTCCTTCTTTGATTCATTCCACTTTAATTTTATTTATCTGGAACTGAATAAAGTAACACCTAATTTATCTATGAGCTATGTTTAAAAAAAACTGGGAGTTATCTATTCAAATGTGTCCAGTTGTCTTGCTTGTGTGTATTTTAATTGATTTATAAATGTTATTTTCATGTATTTTAGAACTCCTTGCTTATATGTGATATATTGAGGATTGTCTATGTGTTCACTGGTTACACATGATTCATGGTATACATGTTAAAGCTTCTAAGAAATGTACTGATGTTAACAGTGCTATGCTTGGCTTAAGTTAAATCTGGCTAAAAATAAGTATTTTTGTGTATTATTTTTAGTTCTCTTTATATTTTCTCCTCAAAGGAATGTGCAAATTCAGAGAATTCTAGATGGCAAATGCTTTTTTTCTTAATTTTTGAGAGTTAGCAAATAATTGTATGCTTTAGAATAGAAAATAATTGGGTAGCCACTGTACTTAACTTTATTCTTTAAATTGATCATCTTTTTAGATAGAGTAAAATTATTTGAACATGAGGATATGATTAGCTGATGGAGTAGATTACATTTTATGTACCATTGAAACAGTTATTGATGCTTCTTTGATTTGGGGCAGCTTATAAAGAAGTCTTGTGTGCATCAAGAAACACAGAAGGAAGCACTCGCACAAACACACACATACACACACACCTGACATATAAACATTTAATTACCCTTGCTGTGTAAATTCACTAAACACACTAAGAAACAGCGGATGGTTATTAATAGCTTATAGCTGATCTCTGTTTATGACCTAAACACCAAGGGAAAAATCTGGCAAATGAATTAATTTGTGTTGCTTATATATCTTTTATTAAATATACTTATTTGGTTGAAAATTTGGTTGGCTTTCTTCACTTATTATAAAACTAGAGTGCCCAAAAGAAACTAGGAATATGAAATATAACTAAAGCTCTAATTTGGTGTTCACTTTATTTCACAGAAATTACTAGTTTTGGTCAAAATTGTTGCAGTCTGAGAGAAGGCACTTCATGAAGACATAGATTATAAAGACAATAATTTTGAGTATTAGGTGTTCTATTTTTAATATAGTAATCAGTTTTATGTCCAGGATAATTATGAATGATACTTTTATTATTTCATAAGGTATGTAGAAGATCAGAAGTACTATTTTGTTTCATCTATCATGTTAAAAACTCATTTCACATACAACAATACCCAAAAAATTAAGTGGCATTGTTTGATGAAATTATTTTTCAAGGATATAACATTTTGCAGGATCCTATTCATGCATATTTTACCATCAATGGTAACTGATGCTTTGCAGCTCCTGCAATCTACCCTGCATTTGACTTTTAAATTCTAAGGTCTAAAAGTAAAATCTATTTATTTTTATTACCTAGGACATAATCATGCTGAAAACTAATTTACATTACGTAGTGATTTCCTTTCCTTAAATATTATTTGGTGATGGGGACTGAACTAGAAAAGCAAAATGTACATCAACTTATAATCATTTAATTTACAAGTGAGAAATTTAACCTAAAGTAGCAAATAATAGGTAGTGTAATAAAATTGGCCTTAATGAGCTTTGCATATTTAATCTGTCCAAAGAACATTTCTTACAAAGCAAAGACAGAATAATATTGACTATACTGCAAAGGCTAGATGACCTTCTGACTATATTAAAGTTCTACCCTCCCTGCCTTTATTTGAAGTAGCGTAATGCATTTTTCTTCAGGTAAAAAAATACTAATCATTATTCCCTTTTCTAGAATTTTAAACATGCCTAGCTAAGCTCGTATTCTTTCTCAAAAGCACTAAACTTATGAAGTTAATTTAAAAAAAAAAGTCTATCCAGTTTGGGAATACTAACATTAAATCTACTGAATCATATTTTCAGATAAAAAACACTGAAATTTAAGTGTATAGACAGAACTCAGAAAGTAAAAACACTCAGTACTCTATATCTTAAAAATACATTTTTTTCAAGATATTAATGTAAAATTTGCATTGATGGATTTTAAAGCTACTTCTATTAGAAGACATCATTTTCACAGCTTAAAGATCAATATAAATGACAATTAAGCAGGAAAAGTTATTAAAATGTTACTTTTTATGTAAGATTATATTAAATCTGTAAAATATATTATTTCCCCATTTTCAAAGTAAAATTTGAATATTTAATGAAGAACAAGAGGATAAATCAATTTCAATATTTACTTTGAGAGCAAAAATATTCATGTACAGTTTGGATTTAGGTACTAAATTTATGACATTTTTATTGTAAAAGTTAATTAATAAGTAATAAATTAGTCATTAAAAATAATATAAAACATAGTTGTTTATGTAAAAATGGTTTTCTTTGAGAAGCTAAATTTAAGAGATCATTGTTTTAAGTTCATATCTGATCATAATAGTTGAGCTGTAGTACGAGAATTTTAGGTAATGTTGGTAAGAATAAATAATATTGAGTAATTTAGAATTACAAAGCATTCTTGACCCTCTTAAGAAAATATTATTTCTGACTGAGTTTTTAAATTCCATATAGTCTTCATAAGAACAGACCTAATTGGATCTTCAAACAACCTCAGTCTTCTTTCTACCTGAAGGTCTTCACATAACTATTGTGTCATCATTGTATTCTATTTTGCCACTTCTCTTCATGACTCTGATCCATCAGGGGCTAAAGTAAGTATCACTTCCTTGCTGAAGAGTTCTCTGAGCATCTATTTCCACTTTCTCAGGATCAGTTTAGTCCCTCTATTACACACTCTCTAAACATCATGACTTTGATTATTATTGGTGACACTTATAAAATAAAATATATTTTATTAATTTGTATTATATTAAATTTCTTTCACTTTTCTACTATAACTGTAAAGGCTCATAATATCAGAGATTTCTTTCACCTTTTCTAGCTCTGAATCTATGACTAAACGTTCACTAAGTAACACAAATTTTGAATAGAATTATTTTATTTCAATAGTTTAAATATAATTCTGGTGTTGATAGATTATGTATATATCTATTTAAAAATTATATAACAGATTGATGGCCATGTGTATATTTAAAAAACCATCATTTCAACTATTTTCAGCTTACTTGAATCATGTTTTATTGCTAACCATAATTCAAAAGCTGCCATAAATATTCTCTGGACTTTTTGGTTTAAAATTTGACTTCTTTTAGAAGCTGTGGCTCTTATGCCATCAGGATTCATAGTGTGAGTGAAAATATATAGTACCTATGAATCACTAATCAACACTGATGAAAATGAAATATTAGGGAGTCCCAAATTAAGATTCTTTGCTCCCAGCTACCCTCACCACGTTGCTTGGAAACTTATCCTGCAAAACTTCATTTTAAAATCTCCCCTAGATAACGCTATTCCACTGAACGTCAGACCTCAGACCTGCCCTGTAGCTGAGCATTCCATCCTGTTCATCTCACTTTATCTAGTTTATAGATTTGTTATATACTGTTGTGAAGGTTATTACACAGTGTTTCTACTTTTTGAACACTTTGCCTCCAATATTATACATTGTTGAACTAAGAGCAGGGACAGTGTTTGATTCAATTCTATATATCTCACAAATCTTTCATTTTAAGTAACTAAAAACTGTACCACTATTTTACAGAATGAAAAAGAATTATCTAGATCAATTTTATAAAAAAAACATAATTATTAAAATTGTATTTATTAGCATGCTTTTGAAATTCCTGATTTACTGATTCATTGTGAATGCTGGTAACTTATTCTTACAGGTCAGTAATAGCGAAATGTAGTAGGCTTCCAATGTTTGAATCCATGCCCCTGTTTGACAGTAATGAGAACCTCATCCAAGAACATTAATTTAATTTCATCTGCCACATCTCAATAGTTTTAATGGAAAACAATTAATTGGATGACCCTTTATTTAGTAGAATAACGTAATGCAGAACCCAATCTAGATTCACAGACAGCTTTTATAGAAGGGGTTGAAGTGATGAGATCCCACCTCCTCCTCTATTTCCTAAGATAGCAATCTCTCTTCCTTTTTACAAAATTCCTGCTAATCAGAGGCTATCATACAATGAAAAAAAGGAAAGAACGTGGAAACAATAGAATAACATATAGCAAATAAATTAAATTTCTTCTAGTAATGCTCCACGATGGAACACTAAAACTGATGTCATCATTTTGGAACCACATTATATATTACGACTGATGATTCCCTGCTTCTTTGTACCTGACACCTTACTAATCACCTTTTATTTCCCCCATATGTAGCTTTTAATCCAGTCTCCGTTGTTCTTCTCTGTGCTCTTTTAAATGGCATTGCTCTCACAAAGTCTCTATTCTAGGTTAAAATTAAAAGAATGAACAATTTTTGCTAATTTTCTCTAATAACATTTATTGGTCTTTTATATAATAACATTTTTGAAAGACTTCTTAATCTTCTTTTCAATTAACGACATATTTAGTTCAATTGTGTAAATGAATTATTTTTATAAAACATCAATTTCTTGATATCAGTACTTATTTAAAAGCGAATTTCACTATTTTACATTACTACCAAATTTAGTAACATACTACATATTATTGTGTATTTTTTGTCAAATTTCTATTAGTGATGTGTATTTAGTAATATAAGAATATATTTGTATTCATTTGTAATCTTTATAGGTTTTACTTTATAGGTTACTATAAAGTAAATCCCTTTATAGGTTTGAGAAAATTAAATAGTTTGCCTTTTCCTCAGAAAGACTGGTTTTTAAACAATGCAATGAGATAATTTTCTAAAGTAATTGCATATAGCTTGTTTGAGTGACTTAGAAATAAATGGCAGAAAGTCTCCATCAGCTTTTTATTCATGACATTATCCAATATGTTCACTGCCATTCACTGATAATGTCACAAATCACTCTGTTACCTACCACTGGCTTCCATTCAGGATGTTATTACTTACTCTCACATTTCTGCAGCCACTTATTATATAATTCAGTGGAGGGTAACCAACATATTTGAAAGCTTTCCCTTTCACCCCGCCCCTTGATTGACAGAATTCCTGATTTCTATTAGGACTGGACTCATTTGTATGTAAAATATTCTGTAACATCCAATTGCTTGCATAAAAATTTAAAACAAACAAGAATCAGTGCAATTTTGTCCTAGTTTCAAGTGACAAGTACTGGATGTTGCACACATTGAAGAACCCGTCAGAGGAATTTTTGTGTATATGACTATTTTAAAAGAATTTAAGAATATGTATTTTAACTAAAATCCAAAAGAAATATTTTAAGAGAGGAAATATCAATAACAGGGGCATCCTGGATTATTTGATTTTCAGGCTTGAAGGTAAACATAATTCAAGTGACAGATGAATGTACGCCTCCAGCTGTACCTCTGAACATTGAACTGCATAATTTTTAATGTGACAGCAAAAGGTTGGATGCCTACTGACTGTATAGTTAAATAACACAATCTATATTCACAGCTTGCAGATAGGACAGTTAGATCACAGAAACCATTCACTTACTAGTATTTTAATGTTTTATTTTTGCAGCCTTCTTACACTGTATTACAATTTAGGAAATATGCTTTATTTTTCATTCTAGAAAACAAGTGTCTCATTGGTAATAACCACAGCCTAGACTATATTACTAAAACAACAGAAGGCAAAGCTTGCGTATTAAAATAATGTATATATTCACAGTTTTTATGTTGTTGAAAGTAACTAAAGATTTTTACCCAAAGTTCCCCTTGTTAAAAATTATATCATCTAAAAAGATTAAAATTGGACCCTCAACAGCAGTAATGTTATATGCTTTTTAAAGCTTAGAAATATAATGTCCAACTATGAGAATAAACTGAAAAGTTCTATCGTTTAGGAAAGAACACACTCTATAAAGCAGTCTAATTAACCACAAGAAATGTGTTTGACTATAGATTTTATTTTACATTTAGCCATTTGGATGGTCTTCAAAAATCTGGTGATTCATTGGGGAAAACGGCAATGACTGAGTTTAATAACTAATTAATTGAGCTGCAGAAACTGACTAAGGATTAACTTCCAACATAACTCTCAAATGGAGCGTGAAGTAACACAAAGAACAAGTGGATACATTCTAGAAATATTTAAAAAATAAATTCAAAAGGGCTTAAGCATTTCAACTGGTTCCCCTTCTAAATCATAACTTCTCTGATTTCATACTATTGAATAGGTTATTTTGATGTCAATTAAATATAACAAACCCTCTCTATCTGCTTAATGTGTGTGCATATGTAAAGCACTGATGGATAATTGTAATGACATCACCAAAGCTATTAACCAGCAATTAGGTAAAATATTACACTGTGGAAGTAGAAAGGCATAGCCAATTGTCACTTATCACCCAACATCATCTAAGTATCTATGATATATCCAATTACTATGTTGCCTAGAAACATTTTATAAACTATTTTCTACTTACTACATGTTTTACTGGCCCTGTAAATACTATAATCATTTTGGGGAAAAAAACCAGGATATATAATTCCGTCAAATTCTAAACATTAGGTAGAGCTAGGTTGTCAGATTTCAGTTATTCATGCTTAAGTATCAAATAATGATTTTTAAGCCATTTATTTTATTTTCAAACTTTGAAATCTTAAATAATTTAAATGTGAACGTGTGAAAAATAGAATTGTGAGTTTGTACTTTTGTTTGTTTATTTGTTTGCTGTTTTGGTAGCATATCCTTTTTATCAGCGAGGTTTTTGCTGCCAGAAACAGATTAAATGGGAATTCGCTTTTGCCATTTTTTCATTCACCTCTCATGTTTTAAGAAGTGTAAGGTATGAAATATGCTGATCTTGTGCTCAAGTAATGTGTCAATTGTGAAGGAAGGTGACCAAATATGCAAAAGGTGAAGCTTAGAAAAAATTAATTGTAATTGTGATACATAGCTTCTCAATACATGAGCTGAGGAAATCTCAGCATAGAGAGACATCACATTGGTAGAAATAATCAGAAAATATTTTGTGAGAACTACGACCTAATGGAAATTGTACACAGGTAGCGATAGTTAATCCATAGATTAGATACTCTAGAAAATAGGGCAAGTAGAATTTTACCATAGTGGTGAGTTAGGAAATACATTTGCCTGCTATTGACAAATTCCAAAAGTAATAATGGTTAAAATTAGGTAGAAGTTATTTTCTTCTCAAGTTAAAAAAATAAATAAATAAATAAAGAGCACTGAAAGCTCTGTTCATTTCAGACAAAACGCCAGACACAGAAGTCACAGGTTTCCATATACTGCTTAGTTAGCTTTCAGGATTGTGTAAAGTGCAATATTTATAATCAACTACATATTAAATAGTATTCTGCTTTCTTTTAGTTTAATCTTATTCTATTTCCCACACTGGAGTGCAGTGTCAAGATCATAGCTCACTGAAGCCTCTAAATCTGGGCTCAAGTGGTACTCTCACCTCAGCCTCCAGAGTAGCTGAGACTACAGGTACATGCCACCACATTCAGTGAATTTTATTTTTATTTTTGTAGAGACAGGGCCTTGCTCTGCTGCCCAGGCTGGTCACAAACTCCTGGCCTGACGTGATTCTCCTGCTTCAGACTCCAGAAGTACTGAGATAACAGGAGTGAGCCACTTCACCCAGCCTTCTGCTTTCTGATCAAAGTCTGATACAGAATTTGAAACCAAAAATTATTTTAGGCTGGGCATGGTGGTTCATGCCTGTAAACCTAGCACTTTGAGAAGATGAAGCAGAAGGACCACTTGAGCCCAAGAATTGGAGACCAGCCTGGGCAACATAGGGAGACCCCATCTCTACAAAAACATTAAAAAAAATAGTTGGGTGTACCAGCACACGCCTGTTGTTGCAGCTGCTTGGGAGGCTCAGGCAGGAGGACTGCTTGGGCATAGGAGGTCAATGTTGCAGTGAGCTGTGATCTCATGACTGTACTTTAGCCTGGACAACAGAGTGAAATTCTGTCTTAAAAATAAATAAATAAGTAAAAATAAGATAGATTGTTTCAGGAAAACAGAATCATACAAATTAGTTCACTGAATAGGTTTTGGATTATATGGAATGAGTTCTCTAATTTAATTTGACTACAAATTATATTAAATTTTGATTTTAGTAGATCATTGATGACCTCATTTCCAGAGGAAAAGTGGACAATGTATTGGAAAATCATTAAATTATTACCTGTGGATACTTATAATGAAATTATCATTGAAAATGAGGCTTGGGTTAAAAAATAGTCACTCTCAGAATATTTTTGCTAAAATAATGAATATAATGCAATTGGTTGCTTCTATGTTCACTGGAGAATGTGGGGAAATAAAATAATAAGCTCAGTGCTTTAATTTTTAAGATAAAATATTTGAGTAAAGAACAACAAAAGGTCTATGATTGTGCTTAACAGTCATTATTGGCTGTGGCTGCAGGGCTGATATTGCTCAAATCCATAGTTAGAGTGTAATCCTATAGGTGGCTGAGTTACAATACAAATTGAATTTACAACCTTGCTAAGTCTATTATTATAAAATTAGAACATTGGGAAGGAATGGAACCCTGAAAACTGAAATGAGAGCATGTGGGCAGATTCTTATCAAATTGGAGATATTAAAGTCACAAATTCCTTCTGATTTTCCTGGTCAATAAAACCAGACTTTTTTCCTTTCCTTGAGGAATTTAGTCTGCCGTTGCCTAAATAATCATTAAATTCCTTCTGTGAGGAAGTTGCCTACTGGAATGTTTCTGATCATCTTCTGGACCCATTCATATAGGCTCTTATTGCCTCTAGTACCTTTCAGCAGATTCAAGTGCCAGCATGTCCCAAAGGGAAAAGTAAAATATGGAACCCATCAGGCATATTATGACAAGTTACCTCAATAAAAATGGGGAGAAATGTTCAGAAAGAAATCTTAAGGGTATTGTGTTAGAGTAAAATCAGTGCAGTGTTTTATCAGGTTGAAATCATTGATAGGGATACACTGATAAGGCATTCTAGGTTTATCATGTTAGCTAGAGTGAATGGGAGTGTCTCTCACAGTTTGATATGCCAAATAAAACCTAGACCCAAAGGTTACCTATATTAAATAAAAGTAAAATGCTAAATATTTCTTAGCATATGGTAAAGAAAGTCCCCAGAAGACTGGGGACACTAGAATGTTAGAGTAGATTTATCATGCAATAACCCCAAACTATGTCCTTTGGAAAACTTCAGAGAATACTGCTTTGTAAAGGCTTATATATATATATATATATATATATATATATATATAGAGAGAGAGAGAGAGAGAGAGAGAGAGAGAGATTTATCTCAAAACCTATATATATATATATATACCTCAAAACCTATATATATGTATATATGTGTGTGTATGTATATATATGTGTGTGTGTGTGTGTGTGTGTGGAGATATATATATATATATATGTTTTTTTTTTGAGATGGAGTCTTTTTTTGTGTGTGTGTGATGGAGTCTCACTCTGTTGCCCTGGCTCGAGTGCAATGCCATGATCTTGGCCCACTGCAACCTCCACCTCCAAGATGGAAGCAATTCACCTACCTCAGCCTCCCAAGTAGCTGAGAATACAGATGCCACCACCACACCTGGCTAAATTTTGTATTTTCAGTAGAGACAGGGTTCCTCCATATTGGCCAGGCTGTTGTAGAACTCCCAGCCTGAAGTGATCTGCCCACCTAGGACTCCCAATGTGCTGGGATTTACAGGCATAAGACACTGCTCCTGGCCTTGATAAATATATTTCTAAGAAGAATCCTAGCATTCTCAAACTCCAAATTGTCTCTTCTCTGTAGTCCAAAATTTATTTTCTCTTCTCTGTAGTCCAAAAATTATTGTGCAAAAATTTGCATTTGAACTACCTAACTCCTTAAATTTAATTCAGAGGATGGCCCCCTGTGTGGCAAGGGCCAAGTGGTAGCATGTAATTGTCAAAGATAAAGTAGTTGTAGTTACTTTAATGGAAAGCACATATACACCACAACCATAATGATTTGCCCTGCAGAAATATTTGACATTGACTAACTAACCATGGTGACCCTAGAATTGGAATAAATGGTCACCTTACATCTTTCTTGAGTTATATAAATAGAAAAGATCTTGATCTGGTAAACACAAGTATGAGTAAATTACTACAATAAAGAGTCACAAACCCTCAAAATATTTTCAAATTTAAGGCAATTCACAGCACAGAAAGTATTATATTTTTTAAGCCAGCGTCTTGCTCTTGTTGCCCAGGTTGGAGGGCAATGGTGTGATCTTGGCTCACTCCAACCTCTGCCTCTTAGATTCAAGTGATTCTCCTGTTTCAGCCTCTCAAGTAGGTGGGATTACAGGGACCCACCCCATGCCCAGCTATTTTTTTTTCTATTTTTAGTAGAGATATGTTTCATCACGTTGGCCAGGCTGTTCTCAAAATCCTGACCTAGGTGTTCCGCCCACCTCTGCCTCCTAAAGTGCTGAGATTATAGGCATGAGCCACCACACCCAGACAGCACAGAGATGATTGAATGAAGAGGAGGCTTCATCCTCTTGAGGGAGTATCCTACACTGACAGAAATTTATAATGTAAGTCTTCTTTCAGCCTTCCCTTAAAACAACCTCACATTATTCATCAAGATGGCTGTATACTGAAGAAAGGAAATAATCAGAATATTGAGGCCCACCTAATACTGGTTTTAAATTGAGGCCCCAAATATCTCTATAGTGTACTAGTCAGAACACAAGTTAATAGAAGTCAATCATTCAAAAGAGTTTTGTTGAGACCAGCTCAGTCGTGGAGACCCTAACCCAGTGGTGCTAGAGAAATTAAAGGCACACATACAGAAATGTAGAGTGTGGAGTGGGAATCAGGAGGCTGACAGCCTTCAGAGCTGAGAGCCATTTACAGAGTTTTACCCACATATTTATTGACAGCAAACCAGTGATAAGCATTGTTTCTATAGATTATAGTTTAACTAAAACAGGAAACAAAGGGATGGGCTCTGGATAGTTATCTTCAGCAGGAACATGTCCTTAAGGCACAGATCTCTCATGCTATTGTTTGTAGTTCAGGAATGCCTTAAGTGGCTTTCAGCCCTGGGTTGCCCTCATTCTGGTAAACGAACAACCTTCAGTGTGGGTGTCATAGCTGTCATGAGCACGTTACAGTGCTGCAGAGATTTTGTTTATGGCCAGTTTGGGGGCCTGTCTATGGCCAGATTTAGGGGCCTGTTCCCAACATTTCCCCCTTTTTGTTTTTGCAAGACGATAAAAGCAAATGTGGCTTTATCACAGTGAGCTACTTCTTGCAGGAGTTGGGATCCACGTGTACAGACTATACAAAGACAAACAACATAGATTAAAAGCACAATCATCATTGCCATCACAGAGCCTCCAATTGCTTTTATCCATTTTAATGGGTTAATAGCTGCTAATCTGTCTGCAGCTCTTCAAGCACTCCAGTTCCTGGCATTAAGGTCAGGTGTGCCTGGGATGCTTTAAATATTTGTTCTTTTAATTTTGCAATATCCAAAGACAAGTTTACAGAGTGTCCTTCTAGATGCTTTTTTATTCTTTCCCAAATTTTGATCTTATTAACAGCCATTAATAGTTTCCACAAATCCTTATGTTTAGCTCCTAGAGCGGGCCACATCATTTGAGGTTGAGGTGCCACTATACCTCCATGTTTCCTGATAATTGGAACTCTTGCCATACTTCTTACCATTTCTACCATATGACTGTTTTGTTCAGACCAGGTGAACACAGTGTGTCCATGGCACACAGACTAAGAAGTGCAATTCAAGATAAACATTCCCTCAGGAGACCAGTTAATAATGATTCCATAGGAATCGTCGCACAGCACCTCTGCCTGTTCTGCAATGCAATCTTCCCAAACAAGGGCATTCATTTTTTTCTGACCAGGTCCAATCCTGTTTACAAATAGGTTTTTGAGGGTGGTATGCCTCAATTATAGGAGCAGATTTATTATGGTAAATACTGAGACCACAAAGTATGTGTAACTGTGTCATCCAGGCATTAGTGCCAGTCAAGATTGATAGCAAGGGGGTAGGCAACTAGTGGCCTTTCCCAAACAGATAGGCAGGTGTTCAAATCCTAAGGAAATATTCGTAACAGTTCCTTCCTCATGTGGGCGAGATGGGCCTCTATCATCTAAAGGACCAAGCATCCAAGAGCTATCATGAGTATATACCTCCATTAGGGGTCTAGCGAAGTTACAGGCCATAGAAGTGGTGGAAAAGGTAAATATCCCCAATAACTATAATTGTTCTCTGTGCCAGCCCTTGCTAAAGGAATACTCATGGCAATGGTGATCACCGCTATCATAGCTATCATTAAATTACTCACTGTGACTGGTTGTCCCACTTTCCTCAGGTTTTCTTCTGCCATCTGTGACAGCTTCTTGATCTGTCCCCAGGTAGGTGGCTATGTTCGATGGGTGTTGCTAATGACAGTTGGGGTCCTCCTCAGTGTCAGTCTCAACATGGCTGCAACTGGGGGATCTTTGGGATCCTTCCAAAACCTCTTCCTGGGTATCTGGCTCATGACAAGTTTTCAGGTGTCTTGATGGTATCCAAATCGGCTGCTGGTTCTGGCCTAGAGAAACACAAGCATAACCTCTACCTCAAGTTATTATTTTACCTATTTCCCAACTTTTTGTTATCGGATCTCTCCACCAAACCAGTTGTTATGCTTCTGTTTTTTCAGCTGGTTTCTGTAGATGCTGTTCAGCTGCTGATAGCATCTGGCCTTTAGGCAGGCTCAAAAAGTTTTAAGTCAATAATGCATACGTGGTGTCCCATAGTCCCTGTTTCCCCCTTTTTGCTTTTGCAACTGCTGTTTCAGGGAGAGGTTCATTCTTTCAACTATGGCTTATCCTTGAGAATTATATGGGATACCAATAATGTGTTTAATATTCCATATAGAGAAAAATATAGCTAGAGCTTGGCTAGTACAGCCTGGGGCATTCTCTGTTTTAATAGAAGCTGGAATGCCCATCACCGCAAAACACTGCAAAAGGTGACATTTAACATAGGCAGAAGACTCTCCTGATTGGCATGTAGCCCAAACAAATTGAGAAAAGGTGTCCACACATACACGTACATAAGCTAGTCCCCCAAACGAAGGAACATGGGTGACATCCATTTGCCAAAGAGAATTAGGTTCCAATGCACCTTTTGGCAAGTTGGGCATCACTGGATAATAGCTTTCGCTTCTTGTCAGGTAATGCTCTATCTGTGTTTGAGACCAGAGGCATTAACATAGGTAAAATTGTGCAAGTGTCTAGCATTAGATATTGCAGTAGCAACTAGGCGATCAGCCATTTGATTCCCTGCAGTCAAAGGTCCTGGGAGAGATGTATTAGCCCTAATGTGAGTGATGTAAAAAGGGTGCATTCTACTCCTAACTTCTGTTTGCAATTGGGTAAATAATGTCATCAGTTGTTGATCTGTATGGAATTGTAGCTGAGCATTTTCAATTAATTGTGTGGAATGAACCAAGTATGAACAATCATAGATCACATTAATACGCATATTAAAAGCAGTCAATACCTCAATTTCAGCTACAAGCTACGCTTTTTGAGTAGGGCATACTTTTTGAAGTATAGGGCGTCTGAAAATCTTTACCTTTCAAGCCAGAATAAGAAGCTTTACCATTACTAGACCCATCTGTGAAGACATTTTCAGCACCTTCACTTGGTTTAAATTTAGTTATTTTAGGGATAATCCAATTAGTTACTTTCAAAAATTGAAACACTTTCATTTTAGGAAAATAGTTATTGAGAATACCCACAAAGTCAGCTAAATGGGTTTGCCGAGTAAGACTATTTATAAAGGCTTGCTGTATTTATGCCTTTGTGAGAGAGACAATAATTTTTCCACAATCATATCCACGTAATTTAACAATCTGAGTTCTCCCATTTCCTATCATAGTAGTGATTTGATCAAAATAAGGAGTTAGAGCCCTTGAATTAGTATGTGGTAGAAAAAGCCACTCTACAAGATCTTGCTCTTGAACAGTGACACCAGTAGGTGACTGCCAAGTTGAAAAAATTAGCAAATCTAGAGTCTTCTCTGAATCTGTTATATGTATTTGAGTCGTATGCACTTGCTTCTCAATTAGCTGTAACTCTGCTTCAGCCTCCTTTGTTAATTGCCAAGGGCTAGTGAGACTAGGATCTCCTCTAAGGATAGAAAATAGATTACTCACAGCATAGGTAGGAATGCCTAGAGCAGGTCATATCCAATTAATATCACCTAGTAATTTTTGAAAGTCATTTTATGTTTTCAATTGATTCCTATGTATGGTTACTTTCTGTGGCACTACTGTAGTGTCATTTACTAAGGTCCTCAACTAGGAGTACAAAGTAGTAGTCTGAATTTTGTCAGGAGCTATAATTAAACCAGCATGAGAAATCTAATTTTGCTAGTGATCATAACACTGGAGTAATATTTCTTGAGCGGGGGCAGCACAAAGTATATCATCCATATAATGGATAATGTAACACTGTGAAAATTTTTTATGAGTAGGTTCAATTGCTTGCCCTACATATGTCTGGCAAATTGTTGGACTGTTTAACTTGTCTTGTGGCAACACTTTCCAATGAAAATGTTTAGCAGGTTGCAGGTTGTTTACTGCAGGAATTGTAAATGCAAACCGTTCACAGTCCTGCTCAGCTAAGGGGATAGTAAAGAAACAGTCTTTTAAATCTATGACTATTAAAGGCCAATTTTTTGGAATCATAGCAGGAGAAGGCAATCCTGGCTGTAATGACCCCATAGATTGTATAACTGAATTAATGGCTCTAAGATCTGTCAACATTCTCCATCTACCTGATTTTTTCTTAATAACAAAGACTGGAGAATTCCAGGTGGAAAATGTTGGAGCTATGTGCCCTTTTTCTAATTGTTCAGTAACTAAGTCCTCTAAAGCCTCCAGTTTCTCTTTACTTAGCAGCCATTGTTCTATCCAAATTGGTTTATCTGTTAACCATTTTAAAGGTATAGGTTCTGGAGGCTTAACAATGGCCACCATCAAAAATGATATCCTAAACCTTGGCGGGAACTTTATCTTTCCACTTGAAGTGGTTCCTTCAAACCTTGCAAATTTTTTCCTAGTCCCATACCAGGGACATACCCCATTTCATGCATCATATGTTGACTTTAAGGGCTGTATAATTGCTCTGGAATTAGAACTCGTGGTCACCATTGTTGTAATAAATCTCTTCCCCATAAATGTATAGGTACAGAAGTTACAATTGGTTGAATAGTCAAGGTTGTCCATCGGGCCCATCACAATGCAAAATATAACTGCTTTGATATACTTTAGGGGCTTTACCAACTCCAAATATGTTAAATTGGAGGGGTTGAATTGGCCACGTGGATGGCCAGTGCTGTAGAGAATGATTGAAATGTCTGCTCCTGTATCTACCAAACTTTTAAATTTCTTTCCTTGAATAGTTTTTTCACAGGTAGGACATTTATCAGTAATTTGACTCACTCAATAATCTGCTTTGCCTTGTTTATTTGTGCTCCCAAATCCTCCTGTTCATTTAGTTTCACTTTTCCCCATTTCCACATAAGGCGCAATCAGGAGCTGTGCTATATACTCTCCTGGCTCTGCTTTCCAGGGAACAAAAGTAGATATAATAATTTGAATTTCCCCATTATAATCTGAATCAGTGACTCTTGTATGTACTTGCACTCCTTTTAAACTTAAACTAGATCTACCTAGAAGTAAACCTACCATCCCCATTGATGTCATCTGACTGGAGACAGCAACATTCTTTAACAGTCCCATTACAAAAGGAGAACCTGGTCCATATTGGTTAATAGCTTGTTTAAATTCTTTGAGTAATTTAAAAGAAAAAGGCTCAAATGTAGCTATAATATTTCCCTGTTGATCTAGAGGGGTGTATCCTAACAGGGAACTGCCAAGCCTCACTTTCACCCTCTCATCTAACTTGCTGAAATCCTGCCTGAATAGAACTGAGAGTGGTCACTTGTGGCACTGCTCAATCACTGGGGCAACTACTTTTGCCCAGCATCCTCCGGAAAAGGAAGATCTGGAGGGTCAGGCCACTCTTTTTCTTCAAAATAATGAGGGGGTGCAGAAAGGTAGGGACAGGCCTCTCCCTACTTTGCTGCTTTAGCTTTAGCTGGCAAGCAAACCTGCTCTGTCACCTCTTCTATTACATTATACTCGCCTTCCTCCTCATCATCAGTGTGAAAAGTTTCCAAGGTGGAACAAACCAGAGCCTACACTTGTTCCATTGTTACCCTGATGCTTCTGAGCTCCCCTTCTTACTCACCAAGGGGATTGCTTAAGAGTACTCTGGTGTCCTCCAGCATAGTTCCACGTTTTCCAACCATCGTTCTGGTGACCCTTTGACCTGGGTTTGAGCCCCATGTATGGGCACCACTTGCCAAGACCAGCTCGGTTGTGGAGACCCTAACCCAGTGGCGCTAGAGAACTTAAAGACACACACACACACACACACACAGAAATATAGAGTGCGGAGTGGGAATCAGGGTGCTGACAGCCTTCAGAGCTGAGAGCCACAAACATAGTTTTACCCATATATTTATTGACAGCAAGCCAGGGATAAGCATTGTTTCTATAGATTGTAGATCAACTAAAACGGGAAACAAAGGGATGGGCTGTGGCTAGTTATCTGCAGCAGGAACATGTACTTAAGGCACAGATCGCTCATGTTATTGTTTGTGGTTCAGGAATGCCTTAAGCGGTTTTCCGCCCTGGGTGGGCCAGGTGTCCGTTGCCCTCATTCTGGTAAACCAACAACCTTCAGCGTGGGCACCATAGCCATCATGAACATGTCACAGTGCTGCAGAGATTTTGTTTATGGCCAGTTTGGGGGCCTGTCTATGGCCAGATTTGGGGGCCTGTTCCCAGCAAGTGTGGTTTGGGTCTACCTTCCTGTGAAACCAGTGAGAACCTGAGGGCAATCTGTGATTATTTCCTCAGTTTTGTAATTAAAAATATTCATAACTAGTAACTCACATTTCTACATTGATACCCTGATCCATAGAGTTAAGACTGTTATGGCAATACAGGTGAATTGGAAGTGATTATAACTGCCTCTATCAGCCAAAACAGTCAATCAAATGTAATACCATGTTACTTAAGGAATTTCAGAGATTGATGCTACCATCGCGATGTAGTGGAGGTGAATTCCTTCGTATGTTCACTCAACTTGCCTTTTTTACCTGTGCAGAAGACAGATGAGTCTTAGAAAATGAGAGTGGATTACAGAAAATGTAATTGGTTATACTTATTGCAGATTATGTTCTAAATGTAGTTGAAGCACTGGACCAAATTAGCACATCTGGCACCTGATATGTAGGTATTAATCTGACAAATGCTTTTTTCCCCAAAACCTGTTTATAAAGATTATCAGAAGCAGTTTTCCTTTTTCTAGCTTGGCAGAAATAAATCTTTACTGTACTACTCAGGGGTACATTAATTATCAAGGCCTGTGTTAAAGGACCCTTGAATGCTTCTCCATTGCACATGATGTGATACTGATTCATGAAATTGATGATATGCTGATTTAATGGATCTACTACCATGCCTGGTGGCCATGATTAGTAGGCAAGACTGCAACCCTATATTGGTAGAACCACTGAAACCCTCAGCCTCTCAAGAATAAAGGATTGTATCACTCCACCAAGAAGATAATTATTTCTAGCTAGAATACAGAATCTGAGGGAGCATGAAATGTTTGTTGGAAGTTAAAGATTTGTAACTGTAAAAATAAAGTTTATATAGATTCTCTTTGTATTTATTTCCTTGGATTGCAATGTGTAAATCTGTATCTGTTTAACAAATATTCCCACTACATATCCCCACCACTAGCAACAAATGTATGATGGTTAAATACACCATAAATTACTCACTTTTTAAAATATTGAAAATCAATTGCAATGAGATTAATGAGGGTTTTTATTCTGAGAAGCTAAACTTAAAGTAGGATACTAAAATAACTAATACAACTTTGGATATTCTGTAATACTTGAAGGAGACATATAGTTTTGTTTGTTCCTGGAATATTTTTCTTATGTTAATCTTGAGATTTCAAGAATTATATTAGGCAATAAAGATGTATGCTAGGCAATGCAATGACTTTATTATAACAGACATGTGATTTTTGTCTTGGCCAACCTCCTCTTCTTGATTGTCTTATGTGGAATTACTTCATTGTTATCCAATGGAATTTGGTTGTATACATTAAGTTACTCTTTCTCAGCTACAAAAGGCAAACATTTTTCTCAACCTTGGTCAATTAGAAGATTTCTCCCTGTAATATAAATCTTCAACAAAATGATAAAAGAGCCTGAAAATTCAGAAAGTAGCTTTACTCTTTATAAGGCAGGATCCTATAGTTTTCTGCTTTCTGCCCCTGTGATGCTTTTTTGGTTTTGGCAAACTTTCAAGCTGGGTTTTCATATTTCCATAGATGTAAACTCTCTGTACAATTTTGCTAAAGATAACTAAAGTTGAAATCTGTTGCTTGCAACCAAAACAACCTTAATTTAAAGAGCATTCTAATAGTTACTTTCCTCTCCTCTATTTTTTAACTATCCTATGTCAGCAAGTGACAGAATCAATTGTAACATCTTTGCCTAATGGTGCGAGTTCCTTGTCTATTCTTTGTATTGAATTGTATTGCCACTGAGATTTAATCTTTACCTTTGGGATATATGTGCATTTTTATACAGACAGACACAAACAAATGAAAGCAAGATTTTGTTTGTGTGTTCTCTTGAGAAGACACTAGAATGTGGAAGAAAGGATGAGGGAGCATTTCATTACCTCAAACTGATAGAGAATTCTCTAAGGAGACAAGAAGTAATATGTCAAATGTTAGTGTGGACTATTGCAATTCAACTCCTATAATCCCCAGGGTGACATTCTTATTTGTGTATTTTAGCATGGCTAAAAACATTTGGTTCATAGTTGCTAAGAGTTAAATAAAGGAAAATAGGTTAAAAACCAGTCTCTCCTCAGAGAGAAGGGAAGAAATAAAGAAAGACCAAGGAACATCTTGGCAAAATGTAAAATGTGGAAGTGGATGCCCAGGGGAAAACTCAGCTTCCCCAAATGAGACAGCAAGAAAACCTGCCAGAGACACACAAGGGAAATATGCCAAGATAACATATTTTCTCCGAGGGAAACAGAGTCTGAGAGGAAAAACAAATTGAAATTGGGGAAATAACTGAAAATAAAATCTGAAGCAGTAAGGAGACAAAAGGTAATGAGCATAAGACACAGAGGAGATAAAAGATGAGGTTCCATTTATTTGCAGATGTTTGTTTTTATTTGAATACATATGATAATTATTTTTCTTCCAAAATAATATTGTTAACAAGAAAAATTTAACTATTCATGCATACAGCTTTATTACTATCTTATTATATAATGAATTATTGATGATGAATGTAACAAAGTGTTTATTATTAATCACAAATCTGCATTAGAGTTAAGATTCAGTTAGTAGCAACATAATTCCCAGTAGTGACTAGAATGTTACAATGTACTTCTTGTGTGAAGAATATGGTTGCAATATTATGAGTATTATGAGATCAGGTTTTCTGTTTTTTTTTTTTAAGCAAGCCATTCTACTACTTTAAAGGCAAACTATAGAAATAAAAGTACACTTAGGAACAATGAAACATCCCAAAATTATAATAGCATGGTAAAATTATAATGAAATCACTTTAATATCTAGCACTTAAAAAACAAATGTAAATTTATATATAGAATTGAACTTCCAAAATAATGACATTAAATTTTGACAAAATATTTAAACTTAAAAAAACATCCTAGAATAATCATCCACGAGTGAAGAGACTACAATGTCAGCAAAAGAATAATTACTCTTATTGATACTTTATAACTGAATAGATAATTTCACCAAAATGTCTTTTATTAAGACAAGGCAGTAGTAATTTCTCACTGTGTTTTTGTGAGAATTGAAGTCATATAATATCCATTAAAGTGTTTTGAGAAATAGGTTTTGATAAAGATAATTTTACTATGATTTTTTAAAGAATCTGATGAGTAATCCAACGTTTAAAAATGATAACCCAATAACATTTAGAAAGATATATAAAGGCATTTACTATCCTTTAAGGTACAAGCTAATGAATATTGTAATGAAAGCTAGCAATCATATATTTTATTTAATATTAAATTATATTTATTTAAAATATTAAATGGCAACCTATTTTCATATTAACTAGAAAATGAGCAACTGTTTTTCAGCTGAAATTCAAAAGTGTTTCTATTATTTTACATTTATGAATAATCATAAGAGTTCAAGGAACATGAAGCATTCAAGTATGAACCCATTTTAATAATGTTCAGCCTATTGATTAGATAAACACAGGATTACTGCTGAAATATATCGAAAGGTAGCCAACCTTTAAAAATTATATTTCTTTTCCAATATATTATCTGAAATGACAAATGTGCTTTTGAAATACTAACATCCTTATGCATTATGATCTAGGTTAGGTCAAGCTATGTAACAGGCAACAAATGTTTCTTTGCAACGCCACATTGAAAAATGTGTAAAAAGAAATAAGATAAAAGTTATTCAGGAACTTCTTTTTTTCTGGTTTCTGGGTCATTTATTTATTGTTTGAAAATGTCAGGGGCAAGACAAATATTAATCATTTCTTTTATTTGTTTAAAAAAATAATGTTGAAATGCTTTCTTTTTTTAAGTTTAATTTATATCACAAGTAGTGGTGGAACGTTCCAAAGCTCTTATCATTTTCTACAGCCTTTACATTTCTGGCACTGAACTGAATGTAATTGATGATATACAAGCATTTTCAGGTTAAAAGTTTTAGAAAACAGGTCAGTGCTACAAGCTTTTTTATTTCTATACTATCCTACTTTTTTCCATACATACATACCTGCTGTGTTTTTTTAACATAAAGAATATAAAATAAGGTTAACGTAGATTTAAAATAACCTGGATAAAATTAGCTAACTTCCTGTAACATTTATTTTTACGGTACACAATATCTTTTTTTCTCATACGAATTGTAGCTAACAACTTGACCCATTTTTTTCAACTGAATTGCTTTCCCCAAATTTATGTGTTGAAGCCCTAACCCCCAAAACCTTATAATGTTACTGTAAGAAGACAAGATTAGGACATACAGAGAGAGAGATACTAGAAAAGGCTACTTGAGAACATAGCTAGAAATCGTCTATTTGCAAGTCAAAGTGAGAGGTCTCAGGAGAACCCAAACCTGCCCAAAACCTTGATCTGAACATTTAGCCTCCAGAACTAAGAAAAAATAAATGTCTGTTGTTTAAGCCACCCAGATTATGGTATTTTATTAGGCAGCTCTAGCAAACTCACGCACTCATAGAGACTTTTTTTTATTTTTCCCTTTTAATTTGCTTTCCTCTGCCATGAGAAGAAAGTTATTTCTGTAATGAATCAGGTATTATCAAGTTTTTAAATTAGACAACATATTTGTTTATGTTGGGTATTATTTTTATATAAATCAGAACTCTAAGCTATCATATTGAAATAAACCAAAAAACCAATAATATTACTAGACTTTAACATGGGCAACACAGGTTATTTTAATTCATTCTGAAGGTTATCCTTTATAGTCAGCAAAGTTTTAAAGAATCACTGTCTAACCCAACCAATTTTAGAGAATGGTAGGTGTAACAGAGATACTCAGTTTCTTGTCAAATTATCTTCAATTTTATACTTGTAACTTTTTATGATACAGTGATATAGCAAGATCCTAGAGTGGCATAGGCGCAAAAATAATACAATTGAAATACATAAAATAAAATTTTATTTATAGACATCTACTATTATGTTTTATTGTAATTTTATATGAGTAATTTGTTTTACAAATTCAGTTTATTTATGCTGAATTGGCAATGCTCATGGTGCCATTTAATTGTAGAAAATGAAATCAGAACAATGCATCACTTAATGTCACAAAGGAGGATTGCTGGTAAAAGATTATTCGTTAAAGAGACACGAGCTCTGAGTCAAAGACCAGGTTCTAATAAGCTGTGTGACCTTGAGGGACTCACTTAATCTTATTGGCTTCACATCTACACAAATGAGACACTTAGAAAGAATAATTCTAAAATCCATACAGCTTTAATATTCTATGATGGTCAGACATAGAATATTAAGGTTGGATGAAGTATCTTTTATGCATAAATATATAATTCTATACATTTTAATAAAAGTTGAAGTTTTAAAGCTATGTGTTTGTGTTGTTTGTACTGTCCAATATTTAAATATATTCACTGATGTCATTACTTGATTATCTAATTCATAGACCACAATTTACAGAATAAACATGCAAGGATTTGACCATCATTGCCTTCTAGTACTAGAAGATATAACTGAGGGATTAGCAGCAGTGATTGATGGCCATGCTCACACAAGATTAGAAAGTGGCTAGAGGATGATGGTAATAATAATTAACTTTCTAGGGAAGTATGCTGAACAAAATCGTTCTCTATGACAATGCTGGCATATCTGTCACAAGTTAAATGGAACAACATATTTTTCCTAATATGTTAAGGACTATGTGCCATGCTTTGGATTAGATGTTTCACATGCAGAAATAAGATTCTCTATTTTCAATATGAGGAGAGTTTATTTTAGCAGAGTACATAACTATGTATATAGGTATGAGGGTGTGTAAATATATATATATATATATATAACTTATTCTGTAGAGAAGTTTTAGATTCACAGTCAAATTGAGAAAAAAGTACCAAGAGTTCTCATATATTTCTTTTCCCCCAACACGCACAGTCTCCTCCATTATCAACCTCCCACCCCAGATTGGTGCATTTGTTACAATGGATGACCTTCCATTGTCACATCATTATCACTGAAAGTCCATAGTTTATATTGGGATTCACTGTTGGCATTGAACATTGCATGGGTTTTGTCAAATGTGTAATGGCATGTATTCACCATTGTAGTATCAAACTGAATAGTTTCACTTCCCTAAAAATCCTCTGTGCTGCCTATTTATCCCTCTCCTCCTTCAGATCTCTGGCAACCACTGATATTTTATTGACTTTATAGTTTCACCTTTTTCAGAAGTTCTTTTCAGTGGAACTATACAGTATGTACCCTTTTCATATTGGTCTCTTTCTCTTAATAATGTGCACTTAAGTTTCTTCCATGTTTCTTAAGGCTTTATAACTCATTTCTTTCTGACACTGAATGATATTCCATTGTCTGCTGTATTACAGTTTATATATTCATTCACCTACTGAGGGATATCTTGGTTGCTTCCAAGTTTTGGTAATTGTGAATAAAACTGCTATAAAATCTGAGTGTAACCACCAAAGAGCATGATTGCTGAACCATGTAGTATGTTTAGTTTTGTAAGAAATTGCCAAATTGCTTTTCCAAGTGGCTTTACCATTCTGCACACTCCCCAGTAATGAATGAAGAGTTTCTGTTGTCCCACATTTTTGCCAGCATTTGGTGTTGTCAGTGTTTCAGATTTTCACCATTCTCATAGGTGTGTAGTAACATCTTATACATTGACTATGCAATTCTCTAATGCCATACGATGTTGAGCATTTTTAATACACTTATGTGCCATTTTTATATCTTCTTTAGTTAGGTCTGTTTTCACGTATTTTGACCATTTTTAAATGTATACATTGTGAATAAAACCACATATGCAAACCACATATGCTCCACATTAAGAATCTCTGCTCTGGTAGACTACCACTAAATGATATTAAGATGTGTTATTGAGACTGGATGCAGTGACTCATGCCTATAATCCCAGCACTTGTGAGAGGCCAAGGTGGGCAAATTGCTTGAGCTCAGAAGTTTAAGACCAGTATGGGTTACATGCTAAAGCCTCATCTCTACAAACAACACAAAAATTAGCCAGGTGCTGTGGCACACACCTGTAATCCTAGCTACACTGGAGGGAGGGAGGACCCCTTGAGCCTGGGAGGCTGAAGTTGCAGTGAGCAATGATGGTGCCACTGCACTCCAGCCTGGGTGACAGAGTGAGGTGCTGTCTCAAAAAAAAATAAATAAATAAATAAAGTATTTTTAATTAAAGATACTTTAATAAAAATTAGAATTAGATTAATATAAGATGTATGTATTTAGTGATTTCAATGACCTAATGCAATACTTAAAGACAAATACAATACAGTACATAAGAAAAGTACTTGGCAGATCATTTGACCCCCAAAATTCCTAATTTTCTGATACTAGAATTGAAAAATAATTGAACAAATTGTAGTATAAAAAGAAAAGGTTTTTAAAAAATGATAGTGAAATGCCAAAAACTAAATAGGAAACTGTGCTAAAAACAATTTTTTAATAGAGAAGGAAATCAATACAAAACAAGACAAATTTAAATAATGCTTTTCACCTATTAAATCAGTAAAATATTTGTTAAATTTCAGTCTTAGAGAAATTGGAAAGCAGTTACTTTCGTAACTTTTTGGTAGAAGTATAAGTAGTTTTAATTAATTTGAAGGGAAATTTGATTTCATTCATAAAAACAAAGACTTCTGCTGAGACGGTTTTTAAAAAGGGCACTCAGTTACTGCTTTGAGGATATCTAGCATTCACATTGTGATGACCTATACCAGTCTACAGTGAAATAAACCAAGTTTCTTTGGAGAAGTAGCCATTCTAATGCTGGGTAAAAAATACAAGATAAGCCTGTAGGATTTTGTAATATCAGAAGATAGAAGCTAAAAAATAAATAAATAAAAATGTTTAAGAAATTGTAAGAGTACATCAAAGGATATAGGAGAAAAACTAAAAGAGTTCTTAAGGGCTAAAACTGGAACAATTTGAGGAAGTAAATAAATAATGTAACATCAAATAATAACCAGAAGAAAAAAATACTATTTATTGTTTATTCAATTATTTATATTAGTAGAAACTCCATACTCCATGTCCACACACATATAAATCATTGAATAGATAAATGAATAAGGCCCATACTAATATAAATAATTGAATAAATAAATAAATAATAAGGTCCATACTAATATAAATAATTGAATAAATAAATAAATGGTTGGGGAGATACAATTCTTTCTTATAGAAAAACTCCGGATAATTTATGCAGATACTTCTCTCATCAAGAGGTGGAATTTATTCTTGAAAATGGAAAAAAAGAAAAATAAATTTAAGATGGAGGAACTTGGCAAAAAGTTGACCATGTGATAAACTTAACATCATCAGTGGTGAACCATGCTGATAGCTTGGCTCCTGATAAGATGTGATGAGAAGATTCTTTCTCTCTGTGATTTTTCTCTCAGTAACCCATCATATCCGGTGTGTAAGTGATAAAACCCAGGTAGAACCCTCAGGGAGTCATGCTCCAGAGTCAGGGGTCTTAAACATGCAACACTTTCCTTATAGCTAGACAGTACAAGTTTAATTTAGCTGCATCCCTATGCAACAAAATATATTCATATCGAGTTATTTAAACTATGTTTTTCACTTATAAAATATTTGTCCTCAGAAGGGTGCCCTGAGGCAAGTATTCCCAACAAGTGTGTTCTGTGGGGGCATTGTTGGGTGATAAAAGTCTATAGTGATAAAAACTCAAATCTATAATTTACAGCCATAAATAAATTTAAAATGCCTAGAATTTAATTTTAACTCCACTGTTTTTGTTTCCTGAATGCAAAATTTACATTGTAGTGTAAGCCTTAGGAATACCATTCTCACTAGTGGGCATGCTTAAATTATCATGATCTTTCACTCCCAGATCATGGAATTAAATTATTCCAGTTAATTTGATTAATATGTAATATTCATTTGTTTACCCCTAGAAAATTGTTTGTAAAGCCGTCATAAAGTATAAAACATAGAAGGGACTCATGATGCTTTTGTTATTAGCATTACTGTTGTTATTACTAGCAGTAGTAGCATCTGATATTAAGTTTCTATGAAGAGAAATAGTTGATATTTTTCTCAATTACTACATATATTTACTAATTTATTTATTGACATTTTATTTTAACAAGTAGCCAAAATCTACTTATGTTTATTTACTTTCATTTAACAAAGAAAAAATGTTTTAAAACAAGTAAATCATTCTATAAATTTTAAACCAATTATTTTACTAAATATTTTCTGTAGCCTTAGAGATCTAGAAAATTAACTTAATATTGTATTGCATGCATATGTAATATTAATATTTTGTGCAGGTTTTAGAATTTTAATTGTGACTCTCACAAGTATGAATACTTTTTAAGTTTTTATGCTACCTGTAAATACCTGATGTTTTTGGAATATTTAACAACGATAATTTTTTTTTTTTGATGGAGTCTCACTCTGTCACTCAGGCTGGAATGCAGTGGCATGATCTCGGCTCAGTGCAACCTCCGTCCCCTGGGTCCAAGCGATTCTCCTGCCTTAGCCTTCCTAGTAGCTGGGAGTGCCTGCCACTGCACCTGGCTAATTTTTGTATTTTTAGTAGAGACGGGGTTTCACCATCTTGGCCAGGCTGTTCTTGAACTCCTGACCTCGTGATCCAACCGCCTCACCCTCCCAAAGTGCTAGGATTACAGGCCTGAGCCACCGTGCCCGGCCTACAATACACATTTCTAAGGACCCAACCACAAAGTGTTTAAAACACTGAAAAACTTATTTTCTGAAGATTTAAATATTTTATATGCAAATATTTTAATTTTTACAGATAATAATATTTCTACCTATATGAACTATTCTCTAGTAATTTCAGAAAGTTTTCAGTTTCACCAAACAAAACTGAAAAAAATCAATCATAATTAGGCAGTAAAATGTCAATTATCCAAATTTAGATTTGTGAGTCTTAGTAGTTATTGTCCTCATACTAAATACTTTATGTAAGGAGTGAAAATACCCGGTTGGCCTTGGAGGCTCATTTTTCTTCCCCTTTTACATAGCTTAGTCAAAAACTGATTCAGGTAGACTAAGTCAGTCTGTGGAGATACACGGACTTTGGCTTATGTCAGCATTACTGGCAAGTAATGTCCTCATAGGGCCCTCAGTGTGTAGATATTGATCCTTGACATGTACACTTTCAGGTCCTGGGCACTGTTCCTGAGTTAGAAGAGTCTTTGATACACTTTTGTTACTGTTATTACTACGTAGGGAGCTAGGCCATACTTAATCCCACTTAGGCCAGCCTATAAATATATAACATTTTGGGAGGCATGATTATTTATGTGCTAATGTGGTAGTCACGCACCTCTCTAGCTTTCTTGTCTAGGCGAACACCTCTGTTTTGGAACTTTGGCCCTAGAACATACTCAGAGTATCTATTCCTGGCCTATGCTATGGAATCATGTTTGTGACTATTATGGGGAGCAGTGTGCTGCTTCTTTTTGTGAAAGTTTATCCCTAATATGCTTATGCTGCATCTGCCCCTTCTAGCAGTACTGATGTGTTCCTGGGATCTTCTTTGCAAGTCAGTTGGTGATCAGCCTGCAGCAAACATTACAAATCCTGGTGGTACATGTTCTGGGAAACTACAGGGTTTAACTGGAGCACCTGTGTGTTAGAAATTTTTGATAACATCTGATGCTGGGTGTACAGTAACCCATGAATAGGTAGGCCTACCAAGGAATCCTCTCAGAACCTTCCAAGGGTACAAAGATGCCTGCCCCACCACAGTAACCCAAAGGAGTAAATAACAGCAACATGTGTTGGTTATTTGAAAGAAAGGTGTATTTTCTTCAACAGAAAAATGCTGTCAAGTGCCTGCATTTTTACTGGGTGGAGAGAGGAGTTCAAGAATTTCAGAGTTAGAGGGGGAAGCAGTTGTCGTAGAAGAACTGCAAAAATGTATATGTTTTATAAATCCCAGGAGAATTACACAATTCAAAGAGACAGGCAGAGCTACCTGAGATGGAGTTGTATTGGCTGCTCAAGTGCAAACATGCAAATAGCAAATTCTGGATAATACTGAAATCTGGAGTGAAATTCAAAAAACTATAGCAATGTAATGTACAGTAGCAAGGACTAGATTTGGAACATGATCCCCCTCTTTATTCCTAAGGACAGACCCAGAATATTGTGAAATTCATGAGTTTAGATCACTCTTAGATTACTTATTCTGGCTTCTGTGTCTGTACTATTAGTCTTTTGTCATCTTTTATGTATCATGTGGATGTTTTGGACATTCCAATAATTGGTTAAAGTCATTACATCCCCAGTTTTTGACTTTTTCAAAACCAGGAAATTGCATTGCCAAGAATGGTTATATCCAAGTACAATTGATGTACTGCCTCTGGCTAGAGGAAGAAAAGTATTTGGTTTACTCACAGAAAAATTAGCAGAGTCAGAGTTACTATGCAATGCATCCTTCAAGGTTAATGGCTCTGACTAGACACTGGAAGTGACTATGCCTAGAGCCTTACTGTGAACTACATAGTCTTAAAGAAAAGGGAGCCACTGTTGTTCCCACACTATCTGACATCACGAGAGTAACTCTGATGTATTTCTACTGCCACTATTTGCTCTTGGCATGCAGCCTTAGGCATTGCTGATGGTTTATTTTTTGTATCATTTTGGAAAGAAAACCAAAATCAATTTGCCCTCCCTGCCTGGCAAAGCATGCCAATGACAGATTATTGCTGGATTGGACGAACTCTAGTATAATATAGATTTCTGGTGAATGTACAAATATTCTGTTACAACGAGTTTTTGATAAGGACTTCATCATAGTTTGTTTAATATCACAATAAAAGAATACCTGATGCTGGTAATTTATATAAAATAAAAGATTTATTTGGCTTACACTCCTGTAGGCTGTACAATAAGCATGGCATCAGCATCTGCTTTTGGTGAGTGCCTCAGGTTGCTTCCACTCATTGTGAATGACAAAGTGAGGCTGGCATGTGCAGAGACAACATGGTGAGAAAGGAAGCAAGAGAGCAGACACAAGAGAAGTGGTGGAGATACCAGGCTCTTTTTAACAACTGCTTTTTGTAGGAACTAGTAGAGTGAGAACTCATTCACCACCTTCCTGGAACCCTGGGAGGGAATTAATCTATTCCTGAGAGATCCTTGCCCATAACCCAAACACCTCCCATATGGCCCCATTTCCAACATTGGGACCATATTTCAACATGAGGTTTGGGGGACAAACATTCAAACCATAGCAGTCCTCTATGAAAAAATTGCTGTGCCTCAAATGAGAACAAAGTCCAAGGCTACACTATCTAGTGATTACATTGGGAATTAAATGGACTATAATCCCAAGAAATTAAAAATGATCTACTGTTTCTGCATCCATCAAATACAAGAAAAGGAGGCCTACCTACTTGTTGGGCTATCTGGATATTGACGGCAGCACATCGTTCACTTGAGGTATTTTACTTCAACTTTCAAAGTCAGTCACACTTGAATGGGAGTGCCTGTCCAAGATGCCTTAAAAGACAGTTCAAACAAAAGTAACACATGTTGTCATGTATCCCCATCTCTCCTTCAGATCCCATTGCATCTATGTTTTTGTACATCTTCTACCATTCTCATAAATGACTGGAGTCTTTGGCAAAAATATTCCACCAACATTCCTTGGTATTAAGAAGTTATGGTTAGGCTGGCTCCTAACAGAGAAAGAACGTCTCGCTAAAAAAGTCTTAAATCTTACACCTAATATTCTCATACTAAAATGGACCCTCCAATTAATGGATAATACCAGCCCCTGAGCTCTTAGTCCTCTCACCCACAAGCAGCTGCTCATTCATTAGATATACATTCTTACTTAAGACATGACACAAACTTCTCACAAGGCTTAGTCCTTATAGTGTGGCTAGCTGGGAGAAACAGCCAGCATTCAAGGTGGCCAAGTCCTATAAAATACAGGAATGATCCACTACAGTGAAGATGAATTCTTAATGCCTATGTATTTGGATGTTCTACATAGTAAGCTAAAACTCAAATGTTATTCCTGGACATAAAGCATATCAGTATAGTACTTATAGAAATCTACCTGTACAGAGTGATGAACCAACAATAATAGTCTAATTCTATGGTCACAGCTTTAGGACTATATTACTAAAGACACATACATATAGAGTGAGATATTTTAATAATTATATCATGTTCCCTTACTGAATCTTTATCAGTTCCACATGCCAAAATAAAGCAACCATATCTTAGGAGAAATAACTGGACTTTCAAAGTCAATTAAATATGTGCAGATATCACCTCTCCTATGGCCCAAATAAATGGTGCTCAAAAACTGCCATAATACTGAAAACTCTGCAAAAAAAAATAGGGTGCACACGAATAATATTTTTTGATATGATAGGGACCACTGTTACCTCCAAAGTGTTCACTCTATGCCAACCATACCATCCTCTCCAGCTAAACCCCTATAAGATTAGCTGATCCTGTCATTAACCACTTACAAGTTACATGTGCCACATCCTCTCTCCCTCAGCTGTGTGTCTAGGAATCAGAGTCAGATAGTAGGGAACAGGAATGTGAGAAGGCGCTGTATACTTCCCTGAATTTTCAAAACAATATAATTTTCTTCAAGACTAGTGCCTTCTCAAGATGGACTGACAGTTCATGAAGTGCCTGCTTTTGACATCAGAAGCTGGGAGGAGAGATCAACACTGCTCAGACCAAAGACATCTGGGCAGACATTTACCTGAACACTGAGTTGGCCATGGGATGATACTTCTGTTCTCAAAGATAAATTATAATGTAACCATGGTGCCTCCTGTGTCTTTATCAAATCCTAGAAAAAAAGGAAAAACATTCAAGTTCTTCCAAAAGTGGATGACATAATTTAATTGGTTGGTTATGAACATGCTGTATGCTGGGAAGTGAGTGATTATTTCATTTTCTAGTAAACATACGGGTAAATAACCCCAAATAGTGTTTCACAGCTACTCTTAGCAATGTCTTATAGTGTGAATTCCTAGGAAGTGTTAATATTTAACTTCCATCTGACCCAGTGGTATGAGATCTCATTGATACCACACTACAAGTTGATATTGGTCATAGCCTATGAAGTCACTTATATGTTATAAGCCCTCAAAGTCCATGGAAAGTCTGATAAAAACCAAATATGGACACCCCTTGGGTCATTTGTTTTCCTCTTTGAGTAACCTACTCTAGTAGACAGTGAGCTCACGTGAACTGAAGCCACCCTGCAAGGTTGTTCCCTGTGTCCCTGGGATGCAGAACCTGTTTCCCTATGTGCACTCCCCTTAGTATTTCTCAGAGAGCCTAAAAAGCCCTGATACTGTAATTATTATTTAGAGAAACTAAGTTTTATTTAACACCTATTACTGTAACCCCATGCATACATGGCATGGTTTGTGAGCAGAAGTCATTCTCTCTGAAGATACTCATCTTGAAAAAAAAAAATTATGTTCAAACAATATGCAGCTTTATTCACAGAGAAACTCTCCCATATAGTTGAATTATGTTACCTCCAAGGTGAATTAAATTATGTTATGAGTGTTAAATATAATAACATTTAAGTTTATACAACTTGTACAGTTTTCAAGTTTACAAGAAAAAATGGCATATTACTCTCTGCTATTTTATGCTAAAGTTCGTTGGTATCTGGAAGAAGGGCTCTATGAAGAGTGTACAGGCAAAATATTTGAAAATATGTTGGCAATGACACTAATTTGCAAGTTTCTGGAACAATACTTTTGCCTCCAAAAATAATTTGTAAATTAGAGATTGTGAGCACTTTAACAAGTGCAATTGAAAATTAGCTACTGTGTTAAATATGTTCTGACAAATTTTATAGATTGAGAGAATAAGTCAACTTTGAGTTTCAAAGTGCCTCAGTTTTATCGATTGAATGGTGTTATAATTTCATTTCTACAGCAGAATTATTTAAACTAGCAGAACTATATCCATGTAGACTTAAGAAAAGACCTCATTAGAGTGAGGCTTATGCAATCTTCAGTATAGAAAATGACTTGTGTTCATACTTACTTTACATTATCATAGTTAATTTCATCATTATATTGTTCAATTAAAGAAAAGACTGATAGAACTATGGAAAAACTTTTTCCTTTAAACACAATTTTCAATAATTGACATGGAAAAATTCTAGTTAATGGAAATAAAAAGTTTCTGTCAATTAGAGAAAAATAAATATTGTTCTGTCATTTGCTACCACCCATGTGTACAAAGATTCTTATCAATTGAGACTCTCAGAATGTGAAGAGACAATCTTTTAAAGCCTTAGTCAGCAGTTGGGTGAGAGTATTGTTAAGCATTATATATTGATATAAAATTATGTTTGTAGTAGTATATCAACTATCTCATCAACAGATTTTAAAATATTTTATCTTGATGTATATATATAAAACTTAATATTTAATATATTCCCTTAAATACATATTCATATAATCAGAATAGAACTGTATTGCAAAAATGTAGAAGACATTTTCACCTTGCATGACATTGTTGCCTGTATTTCTTTACAGTTTAACTAAAGCTACTACAAAATTACTATTCTTTTCTCTCTGTGTGGATTTGATAACAATTATTGGCATCATCATTGTAACTTTTTTAACTATTCCATTTTCATAAACACACATATAATCAATAATGAGTTACTTCTGAAAATATATTTTTCATGTAATCCTTGAGAGTTATTAATAAACACATATTGAGAAATCTAGACATAAATATCCTTTACATGTTATTTTGTGACTCTTTAAACATAATATGTCAATATTTTATGCCCACAATTGTCCTTATATAAGTAATGTAATGTTAAACCAACAAAAGATGCATTATATCATATAAATGTATTTAAATTCATATGCAATAATTTGTTGTTGAATATTCTGTTTCTAAATATTTTATGTCCAGGATCAGAGGGTATGCTGGTTTTTATGACTCTTGATGCAGATTTTAGAGTGCCCTCTGGGCTTTGTATATTTAAATTTTCTAGAATAGTCAGGTTCAACATATGGCTTCATGTTCACAGATGTACAATAAATGGCATTTGTAAATTCTATTCTATCTGAAAAATCTTAAAGCATATGTTACTCACCATTCTGAAGTTAGTATTTCTATGCATTTTCATGTAGCAATGGTTTTTGATAAATAAAACATCTTCCTCTTCCCACAAAAAACTTTTTGTAAGAGAAATTACAAATTGATGCAGTATCTACATATAATACTTGTGCTCAAGATTGTGAATGCAAACTGTATTTTAAAACATTCATCTCAGGTTTAAGGTTGTAATCAGAAGTTTCGAAAGCCAGATGCTCTTTCTGTTCAGTAAGAATATAATTGACAGTTAGCTTGGAATCTTGCACTTATGCTAGAATGTTTTTCAAAATCGACATTGATAATGAGGACAAGTGTAACAATACCAATTACCTGGTATTTACAATATCACTAACAGAAAAATGTAGCAAGACTTTGAAAACATAAAAAAATATGGATTTACTGGCGAAAATCTTCACTAAGTGGCCTTCACTTAAAAGGATCAATGAGAATCATAAGTGAGAGTGCATGAAGAAAAGATCCTTGAACCATATCTTTAGGTCAGAATTAACATTATCTTTCTCTGTGCTGACAAAGATAATTGGAAAGAATATTTTAACCAATAGATCCCTGAACTTATGTAATTTTCATTTTCTTTAGAAAACACTTAAAAGACAGGTGCATCCACTGAAAACATTTACATGTACTAGAAGGGACCAAATGATAGCTGTCTGTCATAATGACAGAACCTTATTATTGGGAAGACTTTAGTTAAACTTCTAAGAGCTTTTAAAAATTTTTATTCCAATGGAGAAGTAAAGGAATTAATATCCCAAGGACATTTTCAAAGGATGTTTATAGCAATTATCTTGACCCAAATTTTCTTTTCAATTATTCTGATGAGTTATAATTCATTTACATATCTATATGGTAATTATTTTTAAAATATCATTTTACACTTTCCCAAATGAAAAATAGAACAATGCAAATCAGTTTTATCAAGAAAACTGTTCAAACCATTAGGAGGCTGTTATTCTTAATATCAAAGATTAGTTAAAAATAATCAGTAAATTTGAATCTCTAAATAATACAGAATTGTAAATTCCACCAAATTAATATTAGATTAAATAAATGTAATTTTTAGATAAATCTTTGAGAAATAGAAAATGCCACAGTATTTTATTACTGGTCACACCACCTTACTTAATAGATAAATCTTGTACATAAAGCATGTCAATTATTTTTCCCTGCAACATATTCTTAGATATCTGTTTAATCTTAAAAATATTTCCATACACTAGCTTAACCATACGACGTGAATTATTGTTAACTTAACATTGGCTTCTAGGATTTTAACCACTTCATAGCTAGTGTTCTTTTAACAGGGTTATCCAAGTTTATCAATTACTCATGAAACTTGCTCTAATTACATAGGTCTTGCCCAAGCCCAACTAAGCCAAAAGCTCTAAATGAACACCATTAGACTCTTCATGGATAGCTTTGACTCTTCATAGATTTATGTGATTTGCATCTGTCTTCAGGATAAAAGTGTAGAGGGTGTTGAGGATCTAAATGATATTCAGACTCAAACTTCAGATTGATATGTTAATTATTATTAACATGATTCAAATTAAAATTATTACTGACATCATCAATAAAACATAATACTTTAAATATAAAGCCTAGTTTATTTTCGTATGGGCACCTTTTTACATTAAATACACACATAAACTCTATAAAACAAAGCAAAGAAAAGCAATGCAAAATATCCAGCATTAGCGTAACAAAGATATTCATCTAAACATGATAACTATAAGCCATAATAGCTTCCATAAATAAAAAAATGGCATGCTTATGTCTGATAATGTTTTAGATCTTAATAGCATCCGGGCATAAGTGTTTTAATTTTTTGAAATCATTTTCGATGAGACTATTAAAACTATGCTTCATTTCTAAGTCCTAGGGACAATTTAGAGTGCAAGAACAAAATATTAATTTACAAAAAAGGATTTTTGTATAATAATAAAGATAATTGTGTTGTATTAAAAAAAAGCTTTCTATCATAGCCTTTGCCTTTACAAAAAATGTGAAAATAAGTTTTACAAATTTTATTTGCATTAAAGTTATAATATATCAGTATTTTATTCTATTATTTCTAGATTTTAATAGAAACAAAATCACTAAAAATAACTAATTCACTTCACCAGCAATATAAAGCATATTTTGAACATAAAGAGTGGCAACTCCATTAGAACAGTTCACTCATGGATGCATACATCGGGGAAAGTCCCAGTTAGATCGTCCATCCTAAGGCTTCTGGTTATCCAGGAACTTTATCTACTTCCAAGTAAACTAGAAAATACTTATAAGTGGCAGAATTTTTTTTTTGTTTTATTATTATTATACTTTAAGTTTTAGGGTACATGTGCACAATGTGCAGGTTTGTTACATATGTATACATGTGCCATGTTGGTGTGCTGCACCCATTAACTCGTCATTTAGCATTAGGTATATCTCCTAATGCTATGCCTCCCCACGCCCCCCACCCCACAACAGTCCCCGGTGTGTGATGTTCCCCCTTCCTGTGTCCATGTGTTCTCATTGTTCAATTCCCACCTATGAGTGAGAACATGCGGTGTTTGGTTTTTTGTCCTTGCGACAGTTTGCTGAGAATGATGGTTTCCAGTTTCATCCATGTCCCTACAAAGGACATGAATTCATCATTTTTTATGGCTGCATAGTATTCCATGGTGTATATGTGCCACATTTTCTTAATCCAGTCTATCTTTGTTGGATATTTAGGTTGGTTCCAAGTCTTTGCTATTGTGAATAGTGAACAGACACTTCTCAAAAGAAGACATTTATGCAGCCAAAAAACACATGAAAAAATGCTCGTCATCATTGGCCATCAGAGAAATGCAAACCAAAACCACAATGAGATACCATCTCACACCAGTTAGAATGGCGATCATTAAAAAGTCAGAAAACAACAGGTGCTGGGGAGGATGTGGAGAAATAGGAACACTTTTACACTGTTGGTGGGACTGTAAAGTAATTCAACCATTGTGGAAGTCAGTGTGGCGATTCCTCAGGGATCTAGAACTAGAAATACTATTTGACCCAGCCATCCCATTACTGGGTATATACCCAAAGGATTATAAATCATGCTGCTATAAAGACACATGCACACATATGTTTATAGCGGCACTATTCACAATAGTGGCAGAATTTTTTAAAAAGTAGAGTTTCCTGAGAAATAACTGGAGAAAACAGAACAGGAGTTTGTATCTGCAATTGGCAGGCTTAATTTCATCAAACACATGTTTATCACAAAGACTTGGTAGCACTAACACACTGGTGAAGCTCCATTCTCATTATTTTATATCACTGCCACAATGAATAGAAAAACCTACACAACCCATTTATTCACTAGTAACCATTTTTTTAATAATATAAAAAGATGTTTAAAGATTGCACTTCTAAGATGTAAAGATATATTTATATGAGTCCTGCTGATTTATTCAAACTTAAATAATAACTTGATATTTTAGAAATCTTTAGGTGACCAAAATAAATGTCAATTTAAAATATGAATTAATCATTATAAAAATTATGATGGTAAAAAATATCAAAGGAAGTTTTACAGACTTGTTAAGCTTAGTGCTGCACCATGTCTTGCACCTGAATATCAAACATTTGAAAAAATATCATTTTATGAGATAGTAAAAACATTAAGACAACTGTCAGCTGATAAATAATTGATGTAATCACTTTTCTACGCCCATACTTTGTGGCATTTTTCATTTGTGCACCAGGGCTTGTGGTTGTTTCACTTTTATATTTTCCTGTCTTTCCACAAGCAACTTTCCCTGCCTAAAATGTATTTTCCATCCTCTAATCTCATACAGAATGTTGCTATTTTTTGAAACGCCAGCTTGTCTCATCAACTCCATGAAACCCTACCCAACCACTTCAATTCACTTTTTTTCCAAAGGTTTTTGTTTGTTTATTGTTGTTTTTGAGACAGAGTCTTACTCTGTACCCAGGCTGGAGTGCAGAGGAGCGATCTCAGCTCACTACAGCCTTAACCTCACGGGCTCAAGCAATCCTCCCACCTCAACCTCTTGAGTAGCTGGAACTACAGGCATCTCCACCATGCCAGGTATTTTTTGTTTTTTTTTGTAGATGGAGTTTTGCCATATTGCCCAGGTTGGTCTCCAACTCTTGGGCTCAATCACTCCGCCTGCCTCGGCCTCCCAAAGTGCTGGGATTACAGGCAACAGCCACCGTGCCCCACCTGGTTCCAAACTTTATAATGTGTAATCCATAAGCAATATTTATATCTATTAACGGTGCTATGTTTTCATTCTGCATCATGTATCTTGTGTGTGTGCATCCTAATATTGATATATTTTTTAATGAATGTTAATTTAAGAAACTTTAAAGCATGTGTATAAATTGCACTAGGTTGGCTTCTACGGAAACAATCATCAGCCAGTGTTTTGGGTACACGATATTTCTTAGGGATCAACACTATGCCAGAGTTGAGCAGCAGGTCATCCCTTGAATAGAGGTTGCCTCTACAAGTATAGCACAAAAAAGTATACAAATGATTACTGTACTAGGCTGAATAGCCTCAATAAAAGACATAATTTCCTGAATTTTTTTGGCTTTTTTAGTTGGTTTTGGAATAAGTATCAGTAAGCTGCAAGAAGTGTCAATATGATGACCCCAGTTATACATATATGTTGGGCATGAGATAACTGAACATATTATAGCTCCCACATTTCCTAGTGAAAATCTCCATTTTTTAGTGGGCTGCCAGCCTTAGGGTTATGCAGTCAATGAGCTGAAGAACAAAAGGTGTTTTCAGCTACCTAGAAAGTTAATCAAATGAACCAAGCAATACAAATTGGGTCATATATGTCCCATATTATGCTTTCATCTCATATCTACCAATTACATCCAAGCGTCAGGGCCAATTAAAACAAAATCAACTAGAGACGCTGAGGGCAATTACCTGGTTGATACATCCTTAAAATGCTGAAACAGCTCAGCAAGAGTGCTAATAATTCTCCAAGCAGCTAACTAATGTTTTGTTACATATGTTAGGCAACATTAGTAGTGAACATGTAAGATTGAGAATAATATAGAGCAGACTAATATTAAATCATTAAAAGGATTAATGAAAAAAATGATCCCTAGTCTTAAATCATATTTTACTATGTAAAAAAATTAGCAATTATATATATGTACACATATATATACATTTTTGTATATAAACACGTGTGTATATATGTAGATATACAGTAAGAGTTATTTTTCCTTTTGCTACTCTATTACATTTATAGAGAATAGTACTAATCATAAACATACAACCTGATGAATCTTTACAAATTAAATGTAATTCTTTAACCAAGATGGAGATGAACAAATGAAACAATACCAGCACCCCCAAAGTATTGCTCATAGCCTTTTGAGTCACAATTTCTCTAAGGATAACCATTTTGAAATTTACCACCATATATGAATTTTATTTTATTTTAAAATAATTTGTTTTGAAGTAATTTCAAAGTTTTAGAATAACCTCAATTACAGTGAAAAGGACTGTCATATATTCTTCACTAAGATTTCCCATTTTGCCATCTTTGCTATTGCTCCTCATCTTTCTGCTCCCCACAACACCTCTCTCTCATTCTCTTTGTCTCAAACCTTTGTAACAAGCCACACATATGCATTTATGATTTTTAGCCCCATGTTTCCTGGTACAAGTATGTACTTCCCCAAAACAAGGATATTCTCCATTGTAACAACTCCATATTTCCCCAAGATCGTAAGTCAACATTGATATTGCCCTGCCTTTCTTTCCCATAGTTCACTCAAGTATCCAATAAAGTTTCTTTTGACATTTCTGGTCCAAGGTCCCCTTTAGATGCTATATAATTGTCATTATGGGGTTTGTAATTTCACATTTTAGAACTTAAAAAATGAACAAAAGTCTTTTAAAATAAATATTTGCCACATATTTCATTAAACAATTTGCTCTGAAAGGTATTGAAGAAATAATATATGGATATAAATTCTTCTCTCTGTTCACTAGAAAGTTGCCTGCAGGATATTCTCAATTAATTTCCATTTTTAATATCCTATAAATGTAAGATGAATTGCTATAAATTTTAAATTTGTCTCATATGCCTACTTGTTTTCTTCTGGAACTCTGATGAATCTTAGTTGAGGGAATTTTCTTTTTCTTTTTTTTCTTTCTTTTTTTTTTTCTTTCTTTTTTTTTTTTTTTTTTTTTGTTGAGATGGAGTCTTGCTCTGTCACCCAGGCTGAAGTGCAGTGGCTGATCTCAGCTCACTGCAACCTCCACCTCCTGGATTCAAGTTATTCTGCTGCCTCATCCTCCTGAGTATCTCCACTTACAGGCATGCATCACCACACTAGGCAATTTTTTTTTTTTTTAATTTTTAGTAGAGATGGGGTTTCGCCATGTTTGCCAGGCTGGTCTTGAACTCCTGACCTCAGGTAATCCGCCTGCTTCAGCCTCCCAAGGTGCTGGGATTACAGATGTGAGCCACCCGGCCCACCCGGGAATTTTCTTTAGAGGATGTATACTTGCTTTTGCTGTTTACTCTGGAACACTACCATTTCAAACTTCCTTTATATTAATTAATCTGCTTGTGAATTCCTGGATGATAAAATAATGAAATTTCTGCCACAATCCTCTGTGAATACAGAACAATGAATTTAAATTTTCATGGATGTTTTCCCCACCCAAAGCTGGAATTCAGGCAGAAGAGTTTCATTCTGATTTCCCTTGCTAGGTAACTGGATCTTTTTTCTAATTGAAGCTTCTCCCTAAGATGTATTATTTTTTACAGCCCTGACTTCATGCAAGGATCTCACTTCTAATTCTCTATCTTGAACAGACCAAGGTCTTACTTGTCTTCCTCCAGCTGTACAAAGCAAAAATTAAATTCTATGCAACATTCTGATTGCTGTTTTCTCTTTAGAGCTGTTTCCTGTGGTTTTCCTCAAGAGTATTTTTAGCTGAAACATATAATAATTATGATGTGTGTTGCATCTTAAAACAAAAAAAGTAGAGATGGGGTCTTACTATGTTGGCCAGGCTGGTCTCCAACCCCTGTCCTCAAGTGATCCTTCCAAGTAGCTTGGATTACCTGGCTGGTACGTGTTGCATCTTACCCAGCATTTTACCTAGTTCATAGAAGGACATTTTTCATACTACACACACCCTGTTTTGCTCTGTTGTATTTCTTGTTAAATGCAGACTTCCTCTCTTCAAAAAAACAGAAGAAGAAGGAGGATGAGGAGGAGGAATCTGCTTATTAGATTAATGTTTACTCTAAAGCATTTGTTCCCAAAGTCACCAGCTGCTGTGCACTTAACATGTTCATATCCTTTTTTTTTAAAGTTTAAAGTAACAACACAAGACTTAAGTTGTGCTTTAACAAGTCCTCTTATTACGAGCATTTCACAAGCAGGTCAAACCTTTTTAATATATTTGAAATTTCACATTTTAGAACTTAAAAAAATGAACAAAAGTCTTTTAAAAGAAATATTTGCCACAGAGAATAAAGTCATTTAGAGCACAAAAGTAAAAAGAACTTTCATAGATAATTTATATTTCATTAAACAACTTGCTCAGAAAGGTATTGAAGAAATAATATATGGATATAGATTCTTCTCTCTGTTCACTAGAAAGTTGCCTGCAGGATATTCTCAATTAATTTCCATTTTTGATGTCCTATAAATGTAAGATGAATTGCTATAAAAATGCAAGACATGTGGGTGAGCCTTTATATACATATATCAGTGATGGATTAAACAAATCTAATATGAAAATAAGACAACCTCTCCAGGCTTAGAATATGCTGAATTGGATTATCCAAGCAATGCTAGAAATACACATGAAAAATAAGAAGTGTATCTCAAAGGAAAGAGATTGGAAAGTGTTTTGAAATTGTCTGAATATTGTAAATAAATTCATTTTATACAATTTGTGATGAAGAATTACACAAAAATGAAACATTTTTGTCAATATACTTAACTTTCAAGAATGACCTGCAAAGAGAAATTATCACTGTTCAGAAACAGATAAACACTACCTCTACTTCCTTCATTTTTCTATCATAATTCAAAATGCCAAAGGTATATTCCCCCACTAGTTATATGTATATGTATAATTTATAAATATATATACACCAGTTGTATTTCCATTAGGCTAAAAATTTCACAAATAGCTCAGAAGTACAGTACTCTTCTTTAAGGGCATACATGAATGTGCACCACTATTAAAGTATTTCTGTATCAATTCTAAAAAATAAACACACTTGATTAAAATGGTAATGTAATATCTCCTTGAGTAGTTAGAATGATGGCTGTAAAATCTGCTTTAAATTGAGAATTTTGGTTTTAAAAGACCAAAGCAGACAACAAGTAGAACTGAGATACAAAAAAAAAATGCAGAAATAATTATCTCTCAGTTAAAAATTTTATCTTCTGAAATTTATATGTTCTTTCTTGTCTATCTTCTCTCTCAGATCATTTAAACACTTTAATTGCTCTCTATAATATTTTTCTTCCAATTCTGTATGCAAAGTATTATTTTAAAATGTTTTCTGAAAGTAGGCTTGTATTCATCCCTCTTTATTCTTCTTGTACTCTATTCTAAGGACCAGGCGGCTTAAACCTAAGGTGGCATCAGCAGATGGCTGTCACTTCTTCCTAGCCTCTGGACGTGTGTTGAACTCGTTGTCTTAGTCCACTTTGTGCTACAATAATGGAATAACTCAGACTGGGTAATTTTTACAGAACCATGATTTATTTCTTACAGTTCTGGAGGCTGGGGAGTCCAACATCTAGCAGCCTGCTTTTAATGAGGGCTTTTTGCAACATCATTCCATGGAGGCAGGCAGGAAAGCAATAGCACAAGTGCTTGAGAAAGAGGAGAAGGTAGCTGGACTAATCCTTCTACAAAACACCCACTTCTGCCACCTTATAGCCCCTCTGGTGATAACAGCATTAGTCTATTTATGAGGGTGGAGCCCTCATGACCTAATCGCCTTTTAAAGGCCCCACCTCTCAACACTATTATACTAGGGATTAAGTTTCCAACCCATAAACTTTAGGGAACACATCCAAATCATGGTACTTGTCCTGCCTGGTTTTAAGGAGCCACACAAACCCATCCCTGGCAGAGGCCCATAAGCCCTGCTTTAACCTCTAGTTGTGACATACACATGCTGCTATCTTTTCATTCCAATGGCAGACCTTTCCCTATTCAACAACACTCAGTATTTCTTAAAAATGGAGCATGTTGGGAATCATGGATTCTAGGCTGCTTATCTCATGCCAAGCTGAATGTTAAAAGACTGCCCTTCGATTCATCAAATCGGGTTCTCTCTTATCCTTTGTTATTGTACTACCTGCATATTATGTTAGTTATTCTTCTACTCTGCTATTACAGAGCTTTTTAAATGTATTGAAAATTTCCCCTGCTAAGCCCTGGTTACAGAGGCTTAACTCTCTGTTGAGTCTTCTACCAAACTGATGTTGTTCTTTTCATAAAACTTTTCACCTTCTAAAACACTATATAATTCAATTATTTATTGTGATTATTAGGTATTATGTGACTTTCAACAATTTCATGTGAATTTCAGAAGAGTAGAGATTTTTTGTGTTCTTCCTAGGCTTCCAAAAAAGTACCTATCACTTAGTAAGCTGTCAATAAATAGGTATTGAATTAAAAGATGAGTAAGACTTAACATACCAAAGTAAAGCCTTTTCCCTTTTCCCACAGAATTCTCCACCCTTCCCTTAAAGAATTCTAAGTGGTAAGGATATGTCTTTATCTCATATTCTGCTTCCACTTTAATTTATTTTTATACTGTAATCTCTGTGTTCTTCCACCAGAATCTTATTGTTATGTAAATAAAACTTAAAGAATACAGAAATATTCTGTTAAAAAATAATAGCTTTAGCAAATAACAATTATGCGGATTTGAGTATCCAGAGCCAAACATATGCTAAGAAATCCACCCGCTCAGCCTATTATTTGGCAGCCAGCACACACCTGTCCTCCTTTAAAGAGCAGCAGGAATCTGGATCTAGCGAGGGGAAATAGCTGCACACTCACCATACTAATGTTGTGAAAGGAAATATGGTGGGCTTAAAGTGGCTAAAGTGGCTAACTGTTAAGCAATGCCATTTCTTGCTCTAGTAAATTTTAGTTTTATCATCTCAAATAGGATATTTACATTCATTCTAATTTTCCAGCATCTTTTTCCAAGAAGTTAGGATCTTGTGTATAATTGTAATACAATATTGAAATTTCATGTAATGTAAGGATCTTTTTTCAGAATATCCTTCCAGATATACCAAAGTAGCCGAGGAATCAAACTGATTTTCTCTCTCTTTTTTCTTCTTTCTTTTTTATTTTTTTTATTTTTATTTTATGTTTTTTTTTTTTGAGACTGAGTCTCGCTCTGTCGCCCAGGCTAGAGTGCAGTGGCGCGATCTCGGTTCACTGCAAGCTCCGCCTCCGGGGTTCATGCTATTCTCCTGCCTCAGCCTCCCGAGTAGCTGGGACTACAGATGCCCGCCATCATGCCCGGCTAATTTTTTGTATTTTTAGTAGAGACGGGGTTTCACAGTGTTATCCAGGATGGTCTCGATCTCCTGACCTCGTGATCCGCCCGCCCCGGCCTCCCAAAGTACTGGGATTACAGGCCTGAGCCACCGCGCCGGGCCAGGAATCAAACTCATTTTCATCTTCCTCAAATAGGGTTCAAAAATATTTTCCCTCATTTCTACTGTCCACAATACTGGGTAAATTAGCACCATCTGGGGGTGGGATAGATACACACCTGTGTTTGTCGGAGACTCCCTTTCTCCTACTACTACTTCATGCTGTGGCATGAGAAAAATTTCCTAGAGAAAGAAGGAATAAAATTCACTTAGGTCCTTCTTCTTTAATCCAGACCAGTGAGTCTCAAATTTTAGTCCTCATTAGAATCACCAGGAGGATTTGGTTAAAACAGTGCCAAAAGAATATAAATTATTCTAACATAAAGAAATATGCATGTGTATCTTCATCGCAGCACTATTGATGGAATCAAGCCATGTGCCCATGAACGGTAGACTGGATAAATAAAACGTGGTACATATATACCATGGAATACTACGTAGCCATAAAAAAGAATGAGATCATGTCCTTTGCAGCAACAAAGGTAGAGTTAGAGGCCATAATCCTACAGAAACTAACACAGGAACAGAAAACCAAATGCCACATATGCTTACTTACAAGTAGGAGTTAAACAGTGAGAACACATGGACACAAAGAGGAGAACAACAGACACTGGGGCCTACTTGAGGGCGGAGGGTGGGAGAAGGGAGAGGACTGAAAAAAAGCAAATTGGGTACTATGCTTATTACCCGGGTGACAAAATAATCTGTACATCAAATCACCAGGACACACGTAATTTACCTATAAAACAAACCTGCCCATGTAGCCCAAGCTAAAGTTAAAAAATAAACAAATTGTATTATGATGTAAAAAATAAATAAGTAAATAAAAATTATATAAGAATGTTTTCACAGAGCTAACAAACAAAAACAGATTGCTGGAACCCATCTTGAGCTTCTGATTCAGTAGTCTGTGAAAGACACTGAGAATTTCAATTATTAACACGTTCCTAGATCACTTGATACATATGCTGCTGGTCCAGATGACACACTTTGGAAACCATGGTAGATAATTCAACAGCATATCTTTTTAAATTCTTCTATCAGTTATATGATAAAGCCAAAGGAACCACTGCACTATGTAGTGCTATATAGCACTTATATGAGGCGAAATCTGATTTGTCTTAGACAGACATTTCAGGTTGTCTTACTGCTTAAACTTTTATTATGTTAAAAACTTTCATTATGGTACCTTCCTTACTCAAAGACAATCACCTAGTATAGTATCACTTAGTATAATTCCCAACAGTGAACTACTTAACTGTATATTCTTAATGCAATCTTTTTATTATGAGAAAGTAGACAATTTTTAATAATGCTGGTTAAATTCATAGTAACTATATTTTGGGTATAATCTGAGTAAAATGTGAGCAATATTATAATTAATAGCATCTATATTGTTTCTATTTTAGATATTAAGAGGACTTTCTACTCTATTTCAAAAATAACATTGCTGTAAAAGCAATCTTTTGATTTAGATAATATTATTTGAGCACTTATTATATACCCACTGCTATTTCTTTACATTTATAAGCGCTTTTGTAAATGATGTACTATAATACATTAAAATTACACTATTTTAAATAAATACAGTAATTGGGAATATAAAAATAATAATTGCATATAGTTATTTTTCATATTTATATTAAATATATAATTATGGATAAATAAAAAAGCTAAAGACATATATGCTAACTTGTAATATAATACTAAACATCAGTAAATGTTTTTAACAACTCTTTATTAAAGAAATCATTGTAGTCTAATTGTAACAAAATATTGGACTTTAATGTAATGTTTTTACAGAAGGTATCAGTCATGGAGCTATAATATTTTGGCATAACTTCTTGTTAAGGAGTTTGATCTGAGATGCATTCACTCTTTTTGCCATAAAACAAATTTTGCCTAAGGAATTTTACACTTTTAAATTGCTTGGGAGCTATTAAAAAAGTTGGCCCATAAATTGATCGAAGGTAAATGAATTTAGATTTCAAATTTTACTTCTTAATTGGTTAAAATGTTTCTATTTATTTACCCTAAATGTTTATGGAAAAGGAAAAATAATATAAAGGTACATGAAAATTTATATCAATCCATTTTTATTTTTAATTTTAAGTGTTGTGGGTGCATAGTAGGTGTATATATTTATGGGATATATTGAATATGTTGATATAGGCATATGATCTGTAATAATCACATCAGGGTAAATGGGGTATCCATACCCTCAAGCATTTACACTTTGTGTTTCAAACAATTCTATGATATTCTTTTGGTTATTTAAAAATATGCAATTAAATTATAGTTGATTGACTATAGTCATTCTGCTGTGCTATCACATACTCGATATTAATCATTCTTTCTATTTTTTTTTTACAAATTAACCATCCCCACTTCCTTCTAACCCCCCACTACCCTTCCCAGACTCCAGAAACCATATTCTACTCTCTATCTGTATGAGTTCAATTCTTTTAATTATTAGTTCTCACAAATATGTGAGAACATGTGACATTTGTCTTTCCGTGCCTGGCTTATTTCACTTAACATAATGACCTCCAGTTCCATTCATGTTGTTGCAAGTAACAGGATCTCATTATTTTATATGGCTGAATAGTAATTTATTGTGTATAAATACCATCTTTTCTTTATCCCTTAATATGTTGATGGACACTTAGGTTGCTTCCAAATCTTTGCTATTTTGAATAGTGCCACAACTAACATGAGAATGCAGATATTTCTTCAATATCCTAATTATTTTTCTTTTAAGTATATAATTTAACCATCTCCAAGAGCAATGTCATGTATATCAGACCAAACATCAGGTATTCTAAACATCAAAAAGTAGTTAGCATTGGAATTAAACTTAATTGAATATTCTCTCAATCTTTCTAAAGTAATAGTGAATTTGTAAAGTAAACCATTTATATTGATTAGTAGAATTGTGTTTCACGTATACCTTCCTATATGTATATGTATATTTCTGTATTTTTTAATGCTTGTAGTAACGATTGGAAGGTACACATTCTATATAGGTGGATGTGCAAATATTCCCAATTACCTATGAATATAAGGTTATAAAAAAGAGAGCCTGCAGAGTACAAAACTGTTCTTCTTTTCTTTTGGATGCTCAGTCCCCCAAATAACTTTATTTTATCCAAATTATTTGGAGTATTATTTTTCAATACTCCATATATAGCTTCCCCTTATTGTTCAGCAATGTGATTCTCATATCATCCATGTTCATGACATTTTTCCTCAACTTTCTAAATCCCTAAGTGTATGTCTCCTTCCAAAGCTTGGAAATCCATCAACCACTTCTACTAGTATTGCTCAGTAATTCAATTGTTCAAAATCCCATGCTTGGTATATATTTGATGCATATTCTTTCCCCTAGACAAAAGTATACATACATTATATAAGGTATATATACATATGTGTGTGTATATATATGTTAGGTATGGTACAAAAACATTTTTACTTTTCATTACATTATGTACCTATGCTTTTTAATCATTTTTCAATGGACTCAATTTTTGCTTTTGAATAATTGAATGATACATATTTAATGTACACCTTTATTTCAAAATTCAATTTTATTGTGAAAAATCATCCACTACAATAAACATTTTTCCATCATTAATGTTCTCTCCAGAAATTAAAAAAAAAGTATTGCTTGCCTAAAAAAGAGCAGTGTTTCTTTGCTGACAGTGTATTTCAAATTATATATGTTTTGTTTTTAATTTTCCATTTAAAATAAATTGATAACATGTTCAAAGTACAGGCATTACTATGAAAAATTTAAACACATTTTTATGGTGATGTTTTCAAAATTCAATTACATAGTCAATGAAAGACTTTTCATAATTAATTAAGCTTAAATCACTTGAAGCAAAAAAACAATAATTTGTCAAATGCATGTATTTTCCTGTTTCGTGCAAACACATTTTAATAGTTCCAGTACTTCGTATATAAATGTATTGATACAGGAACTTGAAACGTTTCTTTGCTAATATGAAGAAAATATTTACACAAGAGAATAATTTTTTGTCTGTCATTAAATTTAGCAACTGAAATCATTTATTAAAAACTTTCTATTTCAGGAAGCCCACAGTATTTCACAAGGCATCCAATATTCTTCACCTCTGCTTTTGAAACTGTGAAGTGTATTGATCCAATCCAATAAGTTCAATGAGAATGTCAGGACTTGTAATACAATTTCTATACCAGTTTAGAGTTTGGCCAGAACAATAGAAACACTTCAGGAATCACAAGAAGGAAGGAACTTTATTTTAAGTATTGGAGGTTTACAAATCCATTGGGGGAACTAGGGAAGCAGGAGACAGAGAGGTGGTTATGAGTGTTCAATAAATCAATAAGTAGGAATCACAAAAACCAGTGATGATAACAACGACTGTCTGCAGCACCTCAATGGTTGTTTCTCAGAAGGAAAGTAAAAAGATCCTAGGACAATGTGACATTAACCACGTGTCAAAACCAGGTCTGCTTCCCACCAGGACTGATATAAATAAAAATGGCCCCATTGTTGTCTTCCTCCATTCCCATCTCACAAAATGTGTTCCATTAGTGGAAGTGAATCTGAGAACCTGAAACATGTAATTCCCAGGCTTAGCCTCTGTTAACACAGGGAAGACACACAGGGTGAAATGAGGCCTAGTTGCTAAGACAGAGGCTAGCGCTGTCCAAACTTTTGGCTACTCTGCATCTGTATAGCCCTTCTACATTTATAAACTTTTCAGAAATAGTAGTCAAATAGATGCTTCTACCTAACATAACAGGAATATCTCCTGTAAAAATACTGCAGTACTCACCCTTTTCATCTACAAATAAAAATCAAAAATGTCTTTAATTTTTTTTTTATTTCTAAAAGATAGTCTTGCTTTCCAGTTTGGTACTGATACACCTGTGATATCCTATGCAATAAAGAATAAATTATGGGATTAACCACCCAAACCTTACCTCATAAAATATAATAGTACAGAAAAATGAAGAAGAAAAGTAGAATTTGGTTAATTATAACAAATTGAGAAAAATATGCACAGCTGCTATGGTCTTCATTTCTTCCACTTTTCATAAGACCATTTATAAATTCTTATACTACATTTCTCATCCCATTGTGCCTGCAATCAGCTCTTTAAGAAGTTATAATTTTTCCTTACTTCTTCTATGTTTTACTTATTTCTTTTCCTGTTTTATATTTCAAATGTGGTTAATGGAACATTTTTCTTTTAGGCAATCTTAATATCTATCATAACCCTTCTTTTCTTTTCTTTTCTTTCTTTCCTTCTTTCGTTCCTTCCTTCTTTCTTTCCTTCTTTTTCTTTCTTTTTTCTTTTTCTCTTTCTTTCTTTCTTTTTTCTTTCTCTCATTCTTTCTTTCCTTCTCTCTTTCTTTCTTATTTTAGGTATTTCAAATCTTTCTTTCTTATTTTAGGTTTTGCAAAGATAATGTGCACACAAACTTTTAACGTCTTTCTTTTCTTTCTTTTCTCTCTCTCTTTCTCTCTTTCTTTCTTTCTTTCTTTCTTTTTCCTTCCTTCCTTCCTTCTTCTTTCCATCCACTTATTTTTTCTTTTTTTCTTTCTTCCTTTTTCCGTCTTGTAGCTCTCTCTCATTCAGGAACATATGAACACTTTTATATAGAACTTCTTTTCAAAAACTTGTATTCAGTTTTTCTTAAGTATTTTAATGTTTTGTTATATTAACTTTATTTTAGAGTTTTCTTTTTAAATTAAAATTTAAAATAATTATGGATTCACTAACAGTTCTAGAAGATGGTGCTGTGATTACTGGCTAGCCATAAGCAGAAGAATAAAAGTGGACCCCTAATGTATTAGTTCGTTCTCGCACTGCTATGAAGAAATACCCAAGACTGCGTAATTTATAAAGGAAAGAATTTGAATTGAATCACATTTCAGCAGGGCTGGGGAGGCCACAGGAAAATTACAATCATAGCAGATGGGGAAGCAAGCATATCCTTCTTCACATGACAGCAGCATGAAGAAGTGCATGACAACCAGGGGGAAAAGCCCCTTAGAAAACCATCAGATCTCATGAGAACTCACTCACTATTACAAGAACCACATGAAGGGAACTGCCCCCATTAATCAATGACCTCCCACTGAGTACCTCCCACAACATGTGGGGATTATGGGAACTAAAATTCAAGATGAGATTTGGGTGGAAACACAGCCAAATCATATCATTCCACCCCTGGCTCCTCCCAAATCTCATGTCCTCACATTTAAAAACAAAATTATGCCTTCCCAACAGTCCCCCAAAGGCTTATCTCATTCCAGCCTTAACACAAAAGTCCAAGTCCAAAGTCTCACCTGAGACAAGGCAAGTTTCTTCTGCCTATGACCTTCTAAAATCAAAGGTAAATTAGTTTCTTCTAGATGCAATGGGGATATAGGTATTGGGTAAATACACCCATTCCCATTCCAAATGGCAGAAATTGGCCAAAACAAATGACTACAGGCCTCATACATGTCTGAAATTTAAAAGGGCCGTAATTAAACCTTAAAGTTCCAAAATGATCCCCTTTGACTCTGGGTCTCACATCTGGGTCACACTGATGCAAGAGGTGGGCCCCGCTGCCTTGGGCAGCTCTGCCCCTGTGGTTTTGCAGGGTACAGCCCCCCTCCGACTGCACTCATGGGCTGATGTTGAGTGTCGGCAGCTTTTCCAGGTGCATGTTGCAAGCTGTCATTGGATCTACCATTCTGGGGTCTGGAGGACAGTGACCTTCTTCTTTCTCACAGCTCCACTATGCAGTGCCTCGGTGGGGACTCTTCGTAGGGGCTCCAACCCCACATATCCCTTTTTCGCTGCTCTAGCAGAGGTTCTACAGGAGGGTTCTGCCCCTGAAGCAAACTTCTGTCTGCATATCCAGGCATTTCCATACATTCTCCGAAATCTAGATGGAGGTTCCCAAACCTCAATTCTTGACTTCTGCACACCTGCAGGCTCAATACCACATGGAAGCTGCCAAGGCTAGTTCTTGCACCCTTTGAAACAATGACCTGAGCTATACCTTGGCCCTTGTAGACATGGCTAGAGTGACTGGAATGCAGGGCACCAAGTCCCTAGGCTGCATACAGCAGGGGTCCCCTGGGTCTGTCCCATGAAACCATTTTTTTCCTCAGAGGCCTCTGGGCCTGTGATGGGAGCGGCTGCTGCAAAGGTCTCTGGAGACATTTTTCCCATTGTCTTGGTGATTAACAATCAGCTCTTTGTACTTATGCAAATTAAATTCATACAGTAGATTTTTCATGTCATTGTGCCTGTAATTAGCACTTTGAGAAGTTATAATTTTTCTTTACTTTCCTAAGTTTTACTCATTTTTTTATTTCATATTTCAAATGGGGTTAATAGAATATTTTTCTTTTAAGCAATCTTAATATCTATCATAATCCTTTCTCTCTTTCTCTTTCTTTTTTTTTATTTTAGGTATTGCAAACCTGCCTTTCATATTTTAGGTTTTGCAAAGAAAATGTACAAACACATTTTTAATGTGTTTTTCTTTCTTTATCTCTCCTTTCCTTATTTCCTTCCTTTATTCCTCCTTTCCTCCTTTTCTTCCTCCCATTTTTTCATCTTTTTTTCCCTCCTCCATCTCTCTCTCATTCCAGGACATATAAACACTATTTTTTTTTTTGAGATGGAGTCTCGCTCTGTCTCAATCTTCACTCACTGCAACCTCTGCCTCCCTGCTTCAAGCAATTCTCCTGCCTCAGCCTCCCAAGAGGCTGGGAATACAGGTGCTCACCACCAGGCCCAGGTAATTTTTGTATTTTAGCAGAGATGGGGTTTCACCATGTTGGCCAGGATGGTCTCATTCTCTTGACCTCATGATCTGCCCGCCTTGGCCTCCCAAAGTGCTGGGATTACAGGCATGAGTCACCACTCCCAGCCCATATAAACACTTTTGTGTGGTGTTTTTTCAAAAACTTGTATTCAGTTTTTCTTAGGTATTTTAATCCTTGTTATATTAACTTTATTTGAGAGTTTTCGTTTTTCTTTATTTTTTCTCAGGGGAAAGCGCGAATGCAGTCCCCCACTACCACAAATTATGCAGTTGAGTTTCCCACATTTGGGGAAATCGCAGGGGTCAGCACATCTGGAGTGCAATGGATAAGCCTCGTCCTGGGAAAACCACCTTTGTGATCATGGTATCTCCCCTGCCAGGTAAGTATGAGTTTTCTTTTTTAATCAAGAGTTAAGATAATTGTAGATTCATACACAGATCCAAAAAATGGTGCTGAGATAATCAGCTAGTCATATGCAGAAAAATAAAACTGGACCTCTAAATTTTTCCATATAGAAAAGTTAACTGAATATAGACTAAAGATTTTAATGTAAGCCCTAAAACTATGAAAATACTTGAGAAACACCTAGGAAATATGATTCTGGACATGAATTTGGCAAAATTTTATGAATAAGTCCCCTAAAACAATTGCAACAAAAACAAAAACTGGTGTGATCTAATTAAAGAGCTTCTGTACAGCAAACGAAACTGCCAACAGAGTAGACAGAAAACCTAGAGAGTGGGAGAAAATATTCACAATCTCTGCATGCAACAAAGATCTAATATCCAGAATCTATAAGGAACTTAATTCAATAAACAAAATTAAAGTAAAATAAAATCATCCCATTACAAAATGGTAAAAGGACATGAACAGACACTTCTCAAAAGAAGACATACATGCAGAAAACAAATATATGAAAAATGCTCAACATCAAAAATCTTTAGAGAAATACAAATCAAAGCCACTATGAGACACTACCTCATACCAGTCAGAAGGATTATTATTAAAAAATCAAAAAACAACAGATATTTGGGAGATTGCAGAGAAAAGGGAGCACTTATACACTTTTCGTGAGATGGCAAATTAGTTCAGCCACTATGAAAAGCAGTTCAGAGATTTCTCAAAGAACTTAGAACTACCATTTGACCCAACACCCCCACTACTGGGTGTCTACCTGAAAGAAAATAAATTGTTCTTCCAAAAAGACACATGCACTGGTATGTTTATCGCAGCACTATTCACAAAAGCAAAGACATGGAATCAATCTAGTTGCCCATCAACAGTGAGCTGGATATAGAAAATGTGGTACATATGCATCATTAAATGCTAGGCAGCCATAAAAAAGAACAAAATCATGTTGTTTTCAGCAACATGAATGCACTTGGAGGCTATTATCCTAACAAATGACAGGACCAGAAAATTGAAAGCACATGTTCTCACTTATAGGTGGGAGCTAAACATTGAGTACACATGAACACAAGGATGGGAAAGTCGACAGTAGGGACTACTGGAGGGGAGAGGGTAGGAGGAGGGGTGAGAAGTGAAAAGCTACCTATCATGTACTGTGCTCACTACCTGGGTGACTGGATCATTTGTATTCCAGACACAATATACTCTTGTAACAAACCTGCACATATACTTCATGAATCTAAAATAAAAGTTAGAAAAAAACATACAGAGAAATTCTATGTACACTTTACCCAGTTTCTCCCAATGGAACAAATTTGCAAACGACAGTACAATACCAAACCAGACAATTGATATTGATAATATTCAACAATGTATTAAGATTTTCTAGTTTACTTATTTGTGTTTGTTTATTTATGTGCATATTTCGCTCAATGTAATTTTATCTCATGTGTAGATGCATGTACTTAAGACCAAAATCAAAATGCTGAACAGTCCTTCCACCATAAAAATCCCTTGTGTTGCTCATTTATTAACACATCTGCCTGTCTCTCACCATACCCATTCTATCCCCATCTGTTAATAGCGGCCATTAGTCTGTTCTCCATTTCTAAAATTTACCATTTCAAAAATATTGCATAAAAAGAATGATAAAGTTTGTAACCTTTGATGCTTAGCTTTTGCCCCTTAGCAATGTATTTATTGAAGTTGTTTCATGTATCAATAGTTTATTTCTGTTTATTGCTAAGTAGGAAACCATGGTGTGGATGTACCACCCTTTCGCCATCCATGTGTTGAAGGATAGATACCTGGACTGGAAAACCAATTTGGGATTATTATATAGGAGCCTGCTATAGCATTCATGTGCAGTTTTCAGCATAAACATATGTTTTATTTCTCTGGAATAAATGACCAAGGGTGTAATTACTGGTTTGTATCGTAGTTGAATGTTTAGTTTTATGAATAGTTGTACCATTTTAGTTTGTATTTTCTTAATTAAAATTTTTTGAGAAATTGTAGACTCAAATTCTACCTACAAATATTAAATATTTTCTTTAACAATTATATTATATAATTTATATTTTCTCTGTATGTTAAAGTCACATAAATATGTTTTCATCTAATATTTTTATTATTTTTAAAGTTTTTTGTATTGTTGCTTTTTTGTCTATTATCTGCATTATATTTGTGTACCTGTCTAAGTGTGTCTTATTCTGTTTTGCTTTGTTTATTCATATTCCTCAGTAGTAATTTTGAAATAATATATTTTTGGTTCTACTTATGCCAAATTGTTAAACTTTCAATGGTATGTATAAATCCTCATCAATATCACAACATACATATTTGAAATTTGTTCTTCTTCCCTACTCGCAGTAATATTCAAGGATTTATGTTTATTATGTAGTTGTATTAATATAGGGGTGCCAGTTATATTTTAGTCAAAATTATCAGTTATGTAAACTAACTTTTACACTGAGTTTACTCCAGTGCCTATTAAAAAAATGTTTTTTTTTCCTAATACAATCACTCTTCTTGAATTATTCAGGTAAATTTTGCTTACTCGTGTTAAATTGCTGAATATTTTTTCTAAGATTTTCATAAATTTTATAGTTACTGAGCCCATAGATATATGAGAATATATTTTGGCTTCTATATTTGAAATATAACTTATTGGATCTACTTTCTTCAAAGTTTTGTTGTGGTTATCCTATTGTATTATTGTGGACTAACACGTAGTTATGAAATAGCCTAAATACAATCTAGACCATTTTAGCTTAAGAATAACTCAATATTTTCACCTGATCCTGAATACATAAACAATAATTTCTTTATCCTTGAGTATAAATGGCATTCAGAATATTTCTAAGTTTTCTGATTCCACAATAATATTATCCGTAAATGTTGGTATTTTGATATTTCATAATTTGCCTTCGTATAAGAATTAACTTTTATTGGCTCTTCACTTTTTTGTTATAGTTGTTGTTTTTTATTTTTTAAGATCAACTTATTTTACTTATAAATATAGGAATTCAGTTATCTATAAAAGGAAACTCTGTTATCCATACTTGATTTCTGTCCTTTTCACTTTGTTTTCAACTTTTTATAATTTTCTGTGAATTCTGACTGAAATTCTAAAACTTATTTTCTGAATATTAATCCTGAAATTTATGTGATATTGGTTCTACTCTGTATTCCTATTCAATTTTGTAATGCATTGATATCACTTATATGATAATCTCTATTTGTGTTTCACTATAATATTTTCTGGTCCCCACATGAATAGTTTGAGTTGTGACTTCTTAATAGAATACATCCTGACATGCTAATCCAACTGGTATCAGTGAGGTTATTCTAACTTCAACTGTTTCTTTGAAGGTAGGGGACTTAAAGTGAATGCCTCTCAGTTTTGTATGAGCTTTCCTGTTTGTAGAGAGTTCTAGATTTCTAGCACAAGGTTGGGTTTTTAACAAAAGGTTAGCCATACTATGTTTCCTCCTTCATTATTATTGTTGTTGTTGCTCTTGTTGATTTTATTAAGATTTTAAAGTGTGAGACTTTTCAAGACTGCATTTATCCGATTATGTAGACATATTGTCTGTTAAGGCATATAGTTATGGGATTTATTATATATTATTCATATATGTAATACACATTATAATTTCTATGCAAACATGTTTCCAATATGCAGAAAATGCATAATAAAGGTTAAAATGCTCATATGTGTTTAAGTACGTGTATTCATTACCTCTGCATACAATTTATAACTTCATAAATTTGCATGCAGAGATAAACTGACTGACTGAAATACTGACAGACTACAGTAAGACCCTTTCGACAGGGTCAGTTGATCTGTTTCTAAATATGTAAGCAAATGGTATAGGGTTCCGTTCTTCAAATCTTGAATCTAGAAAACTAAAGGATATGAAGATAATGGGAGGTAATGCAGAAGAGGAAATAAACAGACCCTGTCGATTTTTAGTAACTCTTTGTAAACATTGAAACAAGTGGGATTTTGACTTTTTACAAAGAATAGGTAGAAAGAAAAACATAAGTCCACAGTTGTGTATTTTTTTAAAGCCTGGAGAGATTTTTGTATTTGTATTTTATTATCTACTTGTGTTATTGAGGAGAATGTTCCTTTAGTCTTTAAATGGAATGTTAAATGCAGTTTTCCTCAAGAGAGCTATATCTCATGTTCTTTAGGAGTATCCTGAATAACTTATTTCATAAGGAAAAATAATTTTTCGATGTTGCTTTTATTTCTTCACAAATATGTACTTCAAATTCCAGTTTAGAATCTTTTCCAAACAATTCAAGCTAGCCATAGTCAATATATGTAAATATATTTGACAATGTCATCAGAAGAAAAACAACAAAATAGCTTTTACAATTCAGTGTTCCAAAAGCTTTCCTTTTTTGGCAGTGAAGTGTTTTAAGTATTCCAATAATTTTATTTTTATAGCAGTATTTTTAGACTTATAAAATCTTTATTCTTTATTTAAGCTTTTTTAATTTTCCCCATCAGGGAAGAGCAAGATGATAGAGTAGAACAATCCAGTGACCATTTCTCCAGAGAACTATCAATTTGAATAACTAGTCACTCACCAAAATACCTTCACAAAACCTATGGAAACCAGGTGAGAGATCACAGTACCTGGGTGTAGCACAACAATAAGAAAAGACACATTGCATAGGGTAGGAAGGACACTTTCAAATTTTCTATGTCACCACTCCCCTAATGTCAGCGAGCATAGCAGAGAGAGAGATACCATCTACTTGGGGGAAGGAGAGGGAAGTGAGCACAAACAAGACTATGTTGTGAACCCCAACACTGGCCCACCACAGTCAAATCCAGCACCAGGACAACACCCAATGGCCCCACTACTGAGTACATATCCAAAGAAAATAAAATGAGTATATGAAAGAGATATCTGCACTCCCGTGTTTATTGCAGTGCTATTCCCAATAACAAAGATTTGGAAGCAACCTAAGTGTCCACCAATAGATGAATGGAGAAAGAAACTGTGGCACCTATATGAACTTCATAACATCACGATATACACAGTAAATACATATAATTTTATCAGTCAATAAAAACATTAATTAATAATGAATTTTAAAAACAGATTATTTACATAGTCCAGGGCCGCTGAAGTCAGCCCCATGGTGGCCTGGGCCTGAGATCCAGTCTGTCACAAAAGCCTAAAGCTTGGAGCTGTGTGATCCCATTGGTGCCAGAGAAGGTCTAGAGGCTCAGTGTGAGAGAACAGGCCTGGAGTATATGCACAATGGAATACTATTCAGGCATAAAACGAAAGAAATTCTGTCATTTGTGACAACACAGATGAATCCAGAGGGCATGAGGTCAGTATTTAGTAAACCTAGCTAATTTTGCTAGCTTGCAGTGAAGATCACTAAGGGAAAGTAATAATCAAAGTGTTTATATGAAAATAAAATAGAGTTTCAAATGTGAGGTAAAAATGATAATTAATAAATCATATCTTGGCACTTAGTAAGAAATGAAAATAATAGTGCATTCATCTGCAAATCTTACTTTTCCATAAGATAGCTTAGTTTTATACTAACATGTATAGCTTTTATGGTAAAAAACTCATAAAGAGTACTTTAGCTCATAATGCGGTTAATGAAAAAGATCGCTCAATATAAAATGAAACGATTATGTGTTGACTAATACGTAAAGACTGGGTATTGAGTATTATTTAATTATTAAATTATATTTTCAACACTTCTATTAAGTACTAGTGTCTGCTGTCAGTATTACAAATAAAACTTGTAATTTTGTATTCTAGGATTATGGCCAGATAGATATTCAGAGAGCTGTAGAGAAAAGAACAGCATCAAATTTCAGCAACATCAACAAAGCTTGAGTTTATTTGAGGGCACAAGTAAACCACAGCAAATGCCAAACTCTATCTGGTGGCTCAGAGGTTTATGTTTGTTCGGTTCTGTTTTTTTCATCATGTTTTATTCTGATATAATTTCAAAGTTACAGAAAAATTGCAAGACCATGGTTAGGTATCATAAATGCTTTGGCTCCATGGTGAACAAAACAAGAGATTAAATCAAGCACAAGATAAAGTGCTGCAATCAAAAGATATGGGGAACCCAAAATGTATGAGGCTGCTGCCAGCCATACCCTTGCATAGTAAACATTTTTTTGTATTAGTGGAAGGTGTACACTCTAAAATAACAATACAAATTATTTCATAGTAAATAATAAATCAGTAACATAATTGTTAATTCTCATTATCATGTATGATACACTGTACACTTTTATATGACTCACAGCACCATAGATTGTTTACTCCAGCATCACCACAAACATGTGAGTAGTGATGGGACAATGTTGTGACAGCTATAACATCACTAGGTAACAGGAATTTTTCAGCTCCATTCTCTTTCATGAGACCTGCCTCATATATGCGGTTAGTCATTGACTGGAACATCATCATGTCCTGCATGACTGTATTACAAAAAGTTTTCTTATGCCCTTTATCCAGATTCAAAGATTGTTTACATTTTAACTCAGTTGATTTATCCTTCTATCTTATGTATTTATCAATCTTTACATTTATCTGAACTAGTACAAAAATTATTACTTATGAACATTGAGTAAGGTGTAAGTAACATGACTGTTTAATGTGAAATACTTCAATGTATATTTTCAAAGATATTCTTAAATATAATCACAGAACAATTAAAATAAGCAAATTAATATTTATACAACCCTATTTTCTAATCTACAGTTTATTAAATGAGGTGAAATTTAGGATTAAAAAAGCGACAAGGCTAATAAGTATTTTGTAATCAGACTTTAGATTGTGAATATCTACCAACCAAATATCCAAGTACCTATGATCATAAAGCATAATTATCTGACAAAATACAAGAAGAAAATAAATACACACATGATAATGGTAGAATATTTTAATTCACTTCTCTCAGATAACGAAAGGGTCACCAGAACATCAAAAAAAAATAAAGAAAATATAGAAGAGCTATAAAAATAATAACATAGAGGTTATTACTTCCATATGAATTTTGGATCCTGAAGTTAAAGGACAACTTTCTGTTTAGGATCTATGAAACATAACTAAAATTTGGCCAAAAAGAAATTTAAAAACACATGATACAAAAGTAGAAATAATACATGTAGTATTTTCTCATTACGATGCAAGAAAGAAAATATAAGATCATAAAATGAAATGCAGAAAAAGAACTACAAGAAAATCTGTAATAAACTGGTTTTTCTAATTCTATACAAATATATTTGAAAAATGCAATCAAACACATTATTTTCCATGAAAATATAATTGCCTAAAATCTATCCTGGAGTTGAGAAATAATATACATGTTGGTGTGTACAGAAGAACCAGAAAAATTGGACTGTGAATTATTCCCTACAAAATGCTAGGCAGCCTCAGACAGCTTCGTAAAAGTATTCCAACCGAATCGTTAAGAACAGATAATTCCAACACTACTTAAGCTATTCCAAAGCATACAGCAAAATTGATAATTTTTCAAATATTATTTAATAACTCTATAAAGCATTGATGCCAAAAGCGTGACAAAAATTGCACCAAAAATTTACAGATCAAAATCAGTTATGAAAAGACAAAATTTTAAATAAAATAATAGCAAATAGAATCCAAAAATAATTGAGGTGAATGACATATCATTAACAGCAGTTTTCTTACTGGAAAGTTAACAATTATAGAGCACATTTGTATAATTTATTATATTTATTCATCTAGAATTAAAATCATATAAATCCCTCTAGATGAGCTAAAATGCTATTTGACAGAATTTATATCTCTAAGTTGCAATTTCGAGGATAGGTTTTTCTTCCTGACATTCACCTACCCCCATTTCACCATATGTATTTTTTTTTTGCCGTCATATCCGGTATTGTCACAAAATAGGTCGCTGTAAAATAATGCAATTTATATTTCACCAATCAAAATTAGGAACAAAATATCTAGAATCAATTAACTTCTGAAGGTTTACAACTGATAACCTTGGTGTCTGTGTGTAAACATCAAACCTGTTTTGTTTGTTTATTTGTTTACTTTGATCAAATACAAGATCAGTCAATTTCACTCATGTAAAAATGAATCCATTTAATTGATCCAAAATTGTATTTAGAACTTATTTTTAAGTATTGCTTTGACAGTATCGTGAGCTAATGAATGTTTTGGTCAAATTGGTTTAGTTGGTCTTGTTTATTTTTTTTTTCAATAGCCAATACTGATGAATCTATTTCTGGGAATGTTCTAATTTTAAGTGAGAAATTTGTTTTCATTCCACCACAATTTTTTAACTTCCTTTGATGCTTGAGGAATGAGGGGTGTTGTACCTGACCCAGTTTGACTACCTAGTAGTCATCCAGGTCAAAATATTTTTCATCTTTCCCGTGGTATCCCATTCTCTGTTAATCCACTCAGAACTTCAATATCCCTCCAATTAGTCCAAGTCCATTCACAAACTACAATCTTCTTCGAAACTTATCAGTAAAAATTTTAGATCCAGTTAGATCCAGTTTTTTAATAATATGTATCAAACCATTTTATTTGGGGAAGCTCTCATTCATCTCCTTTTTTCTGCTGTAAGCCCTGCTTTTCACCATGAGATGAGATTTACCCTTCTTTTGTTCTGGGATATAATAGACATTACCTTTTTCTTCTTTATTATATTGGAGATGAAGATCCTATCGCATTATATTTGGATTTGTATTGGTTTATCACCACCTATACAGCCCACGTTTCTAATCTTCTAGTGCACTTCCAACTTTAAAAGAGCACTTGACAGGGGTGCGGGTGGGGCAGGGGGAGGAAAAGCATTAGGAGAAAAACAACGTAGATGACGGGTTGATGGGTGCGGCAAACCACAATGGCACATGTATACCTATGTAACAAACCTGCACATTCTGCACATGTACCCCAGAACTTAAAGCATAATAATTTTTTTAAAAAAAGCACTTGACTATGAGGTTAAAATAAGAAGAAAGTATTTTGTATATTTTTTGATGAGACAATATTTGCATAATAAGGCTTTGTCAGTGTGTTTAGAATTTTTGATATGATTTTTAATAATTTCTGTAACTTACTTGAGAAAATTAAGTACAGTGTTTCAAAAATGTTTGGTTATTTTTCTCCCTTAGAGAATAATAAATACAACTTTGAAAACCAATCAACATCTGGCAGTAACTAGTGATGAAGAATGGTCATTTAGTATGGTAATAAATTCTTCATGAATGATTCTACAGTTAACAGATTTAAAATTTGCCATAAAAATATTGCTTTTACTTGAAATGTACTCAATATTGACACTCCTGTCAATAGTATTAATATTATCATATTTCAACTGCTCTCATTTTTTTATGCTTGCTTAATTAAACAACATATATTGAGAGTCATAGAATTAGAAAACTGCAACGAATAAGCAGACAATCTAGTGAGGAATACATCAAAAGAGTCTAAGCCAGTTAAATCTTTCTTGAAAGGAAGAATCAAAAGAGGAATTGCACTCTTTTAATAAAACGTTTTAAGAAAAACATTCAGGGACCATAAATTTATTCTCACTACCCTTACAACTAGAATTTTTTGGAAGCCTTGGGGTTTTTTGAGACACGGGACCAGCACAGTCCTTTGGTTTACAGATTAAAAATTTGACACACAAAGGTTACATATTTGGGTGCCATCTCATAGCTAGCTACATTTTAAAATTAAGCTAGATTTTAAAATAAGATTTTAACACAGATTTCCAATAACTTTTTGAAATAGTAGTTTTCAGTAACCCGTTCATGTTTCCTCTACATCACGTATGCTCTTGCTCCCCATATGTATCTACCCCTGCCGAGTTATACAATCAACTAATTTACAAAATGTAGCTTGTGATCAATATATTTGCTGTACATATGTTTTGGTTAAGCCTTGTAAAACTTAATTAATCTGGGTCTTTATTATTAAGCAATGAACAAATAAAGTTTTATTTGCAGTACATTGCATGGAATGAATCTATATTACAAAGTTAAATTTATGTTCTTAGAAATAACAGAGTAAAATTGTCACTTAATACATTTTTAAATAATAGGTAAACATGGAAAATGTGTTTTTTAATCATGTTTTACATATAAAATATATGTTTTATAGGCAAAGCATTAAGCATGTGCTTTTTCAAAAAGAGATTATAATTTGAGTATAAAAAATGTATTTTTTAAAAAATAAATTTAACATATAAAAGATAGGTGTAACTCTATTTTTGTCGTTTGCCTGATTCTATGCTACCAAATTGATTACTGAGCTTTGAACAGAGAAAAAATTTGAGTAGGGATGCTTTGTACATTTTGTTCCTAAGTATTATTTTTCAATCAATATAATACATCTCAAAATGTAAGATTTGGTATTTGTTTTCTGGAGATCATCTCCACTTACTCTTTTTTTCTAAAGCAATTAGAGTTGTTATTTATAGCAATATTTTGATATCAAATTTGGTTCTAAAAATACTCCCTTTACTGAAATCACAATAAAGATACATAGTAATATATATTTCATTTCTGAGTTTTTTCTTACTCTATTTGCTATTATTGTTTCTCTACAGAAAAGTTTTGCTTCTGAAAGCTGAAGCCATATTTCTGTTTTTCTAGATTCCCTGGTAAGTGGAATGGGCAGTCATTGAAATCAAGATTAATTTAGAATGTCTGAAAAGAGTTTCATCCAAGTTAACTTAAAAAGGAAATCATGTTCTAAAATTAGGGTGTTCTGTGTTTGAAAACTTTTAAAAAATGTTTCCAACATTAGTATGTCATTAACAGTATATTTATCAAGCTGTTATATTACATTAAAAATTAGAATGAATTAACTTCTTATATTTAAAAAAATCAAATATAGAGTATTATATTTTTCTGTATACTGTCAGATAGTTTGTAGCTTACTAATACTTCCACTTCAAGGTGAGGCTATCTAAATCTGTAATGTCTCAATTTTCCCTTTTGTAATTCTGTCTAATGAGGGTGCATATATCAATAAATTATACCTGTTCCCAGATGGAAATTTACTATGCTTTTGATAGCCACCCAGCAACTGAGAGAACCAAAAAAGAACTTGATACTCACTTGTATCTTCAACCAAATGGTCTGTCAGTAGTCATTAAATAATTCTTTTCAGATCATTCTATATTTATTTCACCCAAGAGAATTAATCCCAGAATAACTCCATGTGCTTTATAGCTATAGTATAAACTGAGTTATTTTGTGTTATTTGAATATGATGTATATAAAGATAAAATGAATTTAATTTTTATTGATAATAATTATTCTACTTAGTTTACATGGCATAAAATTAAACATGTTAATCACCATTCACTCAAACTAATTTTAAAAATCAAGTAATTCCTGAAAACTTTACATTAGAGGATGTTATAAATTTGGAGTAATATCTTACCAACAACTTAGAAATTCCTCGAATTTGCGTTAAAAAATATCACGTCTTTAGAGAAGAAAAAAAATCTAGAAAAAAAAAACACAAAAGCATAATAACTACTGTTCAGGTAGAGTCAACAAAAATATATTTCTTTTGTGTTACCTGCCAGATTTTTTCTAAATTTGTATTTTTCTTCCAGGCTGAATTATCCTATGAAAATTTTTGTTTATTTCCTCTTCTGAGTAAATTAGGAAGCAAGCCCCCGGCTTAAAATCTGAAGCAACCTTATCAAACACAGACATTATGTTCATGACTGCCAAAGGGATATCTCAGTGCTTGCACACAAAAAATAAAACTTTGAGAATAAATGGGACAAGTACACAAATATCTCAGATAAATATTTTTCAAAAGCTAAATAACGAAAATAAAACAAATAAATACTCATTTGTTTTTGGAATGTACATCAAAATAAGAGATTAGAGATATTTTGTGTTCCTAAATAGAATCCAATCAGGACTGTCCTGGAATTGATGGCAGTGGTAGCCTGCCTGGGGCCGCCACTGCCAAGACACCTGCTGCAGCAAGGGAGGTGCGGCTGGACTACATGCTCCACAGAGCCAATGGGACCCAGGAGCAGGCAGAAGCCCCCAACCCTCTCGGGTGCAGTTCCAGCCCCACAAGCCATGTCTATAGACCTGTGCATCTCTGAACCATTGGGGGGCCCAGGAAGGCCCCCCAACCGCTGCCCCTACAGGCTTGGAGGTGTCTATTCCCACTGCCTGGTTCCAGTGCCTGTTCCAATTTTGGAGCAAGGTTGAGGCCAAGCCTGGGTTCTGTTGCAGCCCAGCTTGGTGTGCACGTGCTCAGGGCAGCACTGACATGCCGGCCCCCTGCTGCCTTGACCCCCTCTGGACTCTGGGCACCAACAAGCACAGGAGGGAAGAAAATGGGATGCTGAGGGCAGCCCAGCACTGGCTGGCAGGTGCTCCTCAGCATAAGCAGCCGGGGTGCCATGAACAATGGCAAGAGGAAGACAGGCTTTGGGGTGGAAAGTGGTGGGTCTCCAGTGAAGCCCCTCGTTCAAGCTGGGAAAGGCCTGACGCCTGGCACCCAGGCTGCCAGTGCCTCTGACCTGAGTGGGAACTTGGTACTTTTTCCCAGCCTGCCCATGGTCACCCATGGACCAATCAGAACACACTTCCTCCCCTCTAAAGACCATAAAAACCCCAGACTCAGCCAGACTCAAGGAGATGACAGGATGAAGTGTCTGCAGAGAAGAGCTACCCACCCCAGGGTCTTGTCTCTGCTGAATGCTGAACACTTCTCAGGACACCCTGCCTGTGGAAAGGAGCTACCCAATATGGGTCTCCTCTGAGCTCTTCTGTCACTCAATAAAGCTGCTCTTTGCCTTGCTCCCCATCCAATTGTCTGCATACCTCATTCTTCCTTGACACAGGACAAGAACTTGGGACCTGCTGAATGGTAGGGCTAAAATAGCAATAACACAAACAAGGCTGAAATATGCCCCTTGCTCACCACATTGCAGGTGACAAGAAGGAGAGATAAAAGGAGGAGAAAAGAGCTGCAGCCCTTCAGGAAGCCCAAACCTAGAAGCTCCCCGAGACAGTACTGTGTCACACTCTTTTGGGCTCTGGTGTATTTAAGCTTTTGAGCAAGCCCAAAACTAGAAGTTCCCCAAGCCAGGGCTGTGACACCATTATTTTTTCAGGTTCCTGGTGTCTCCAAGCTTCCGGGCATCACCGTGTTCTCCGGTGCTAGTCGTGGAAGCTTCTTGTGGTATGCCTTGTCCAACTGCAGCCTCACAGGAAGCCAGCACCCATGCTGGCTCCTGGAGCTTCCCAAATCACCACAGCCAGAGTGCCTTGCTATGCACAGTGGCCAGACCCCTTGCTTGCTTTTTCAAACACCCCTGGCTTCTCTTCTCACCTATGGCAGGCATGAGATCCTGCCAAGTGTAGCCTGCCAGGCTGAGTGGACCCAACGAGTCCAAGGGCCCAAGCATAACTCAGGCAAAGGCATCACTGGCTACAGAGGTTTCTAGTCAGAAAAGCATCATCTCAATAATCCCAAGAATCCCAAGAATCCCAAGACAGAATGATTGAAGCGGTTAGCAACTGTCTGTTAAAAGTAAATGTCACAAGATACTTTATATCAAGAACAAATTAGCTACTGGAATGTTGGAAAGAATGGTAAGTTAATGGGATTTTTTTCCCACACAATACCCTGCATTTTCCTGAAATCTTAAATTTACCCTTACTACCCTTGGATCCTCAACTCATCAGTATCATTGATGTAGTATATAAGGATATATTACATGTTGGTGATAAGAGAACACCACAAAGTTTCATGCAGTAAGCACTGCCCTTTGTTTTTTTTTTTTAATGACCAGTACACTGATCTTAGCATACTGTTGCCTCCTGAAGTGCTTCCAAAACCCTGAAAATAATACCAGTTTAAATTTACTTTGAAAAATTCAACTATAATGATCAAACAGTAAAATTAAGATTATACATAATACCAAAGAAGCTAAAAACAAAATAACTATGAAGAATTAGTTTCTATTAATTCCTGATAAGCATATTTTAAAAATGTAATCATATTAATATTACTTAATGAATGTTTTATTTATATATATTGTATATGTAATAGCTATTAGTTTTTTAAAAAAACTAATAGCTCCCAGAAATGATATTTACAGAAAAGCAATCTTCTTTGTGGTCTCTGTACCAAAAGCAACTTAATCATTTGATGAATGAATAGTATATTGAGTTATTTTCCATAAATGTTGTAGAAAACAACTAATGATATGATTCTAAATATCTCACCTGGAACTATCTTGTAATAACTATGCATTGCATATCAAGGAATTGAGAAATATAGATTTTGTAAAATCACACTTTAAAAAATATGATATTAAAACAACACAAATTTGCTTTTCCACATAAATAATTTATACAGGAATAATTGAAAGAACTGGCAAAATTCTGGACCAAGCAAGGCTGTGCAAATAAATTAGAAAAATCTGGGGTTCTTTTAAGCCAGATTGACATGAACGTACTAATGACTATGTTCTGATTTCTAGAGATTTTATTATAATTTGAATCCTCAATTTGGGTTCTCTTAAGCCAAGGGTGCTAAAACATTTTGTTCAATAGCACAAGCTCTCTAAGAAGCCCTCCCAGGTTTATATTCCACAACTTTCACATATTAAATGTGTGCTTATATACAAGTTACCTAAATTTTCTGTGCCTCAAAAAATGGACCAATAAAGTTAGTCCTAATGCAATAATTTAAAATTCTGTCCTAAAACAAATCAATTACATTTATTTAAATGATGTTTTCTTTCTAATATAAGTCATAATAGTTCCTTCCTCAGTGAAGATGGTGATGCATCCTTGCTGATAAATTTAGCCAAATTAGACAACAGAAGGAAGGAGAACTAAACTTTTCTAGGAAATATGAAGCATACTTTAAATAATATATTTAATTCACTCTTTCAAAACATCTGTTAGATAATGATAATTGCAATATTAAAAATGTGTATCTCAACTACTATTTACTAATTACTTACTGTGTTAGACTTCATTAAGTACTTATGCATTATTATACAATATCCTTACAACAAACCAATTAGATACATATTATTTTTTTTTACATTTTAACGGTAGAAAACAGTGCTTCAAAGAGTTTTCATTGTTTTTGATGCGAGTTCAATGGTAGGGCATGAATCAAAGATTCCAAACCCTTTATGTTTGGATGTAAAGCACCCCACACTAAACACTGTGCTTTTTGAAGAAAATCAGGTTAATTGTCTTGCTCAAGACTGAACAGCTTGACAGTTACAGAGTTGGAGCTAATATACTTCAATCCACATGCGATGCTTAAGCATAGTTTCACAAAACCATAAAATCAATTGATTATTTTATGTAACTACAAAATGAAATTAAGGAATAAGATATTAAAAGATAACACGTTAATATTATTTAAATATGAGAAAATAATTTTTGATTAATCACTTTCTGTTTATATTTACAATTATTTTTACAAAATTAGCCATGTTCCAAGATATACTTTTGAAATACAAAACCATGAATTTTAAAGAATTTGTCAAAAATAAGATAAAATAATATATTTAAAACATCATTCTGCCTGTTTAAAAAAAACACTTACTTGGTCTTTAATTCCATCAGTCTTCATGTTCTGGTCCTGAGGAAGCAAGACAATTTATTGTCATAAAAGAGATCCAAAGAAGGAAGAAAGAAATCAGAGAAGGGATATTATTTCTTGCAGCACTTCTTTTATGAGAGAGAAAATATCTTTTCAATCAGCCTCTAGTCTTCCAGGATTGATAATAATGTATCCACCAGCTGTGATCTTTCTCAAATGCTTTTCAATTCCCTCATTTTTTAAATAAGACATCTGAACTGTTTGTTCTTTCTCCCTTACATACTATTCTTTTTATTTAAAATGATTTTAAGTTTAACATTTTAGTTACTTTTGATGTTGTTTTATATATGTTATGATGTATTTTTGATAATCTTAATCCATCATCTCTGATTTAGGATAGTGCAACAGACTGAATATCTGTGTTTCCCAAAAATTTATGTGCTGAAACCTTAATTCCACGATGATATGTTGAGGTGGGACTTAGGGGAGGAAATTAGGTCATGAGGGTAGAGCCCTCATAAATTGAATTAGTGAATGCCGTTTGCTAAATCTTTGTGCTTAAAGGTGGATAAACTAAAGTTCTTATTTCCTGCATGTGTAGGAGAAGCACTAGATTAAGAACAGCTGTCTGATCTATTGAACTCTTTCTCAATTCACTGTCAAGAATTCTTAACTTTGTGGGTGCTCACTGTTACACATGCAAAGCTTTTCAAAAGGAAGGGGTAGTAAATCATTCAGCACTGTGATTCCAAGGCAGCCATTCACTCCAGTTCTCTGACTCCAGTCTGTCTAACCCTGAATCCACATTTTCAGACCAAGTAACCTGAATCTACATGTTCAGCACCAAGTAACTTGCAGACTATTGTTTTAAATCATTTTTATTACTCTTGCAATAACTCTAATCACTAAAAATGTTTAACAAAATCTTCAATGAATGTATCCCAATATTAATATAAATGATTGCTTTTTCCTAGAAAAATGCAAAATCTTTTTGAAGCAAAACTTCTTTGGATTTGAGCAAGTCTAAAACCTATTTGAAAGCTGCTCACCAGAAACATAGCTATAAATCAAGCAAATATGTAATAACAGACATGAACTTGTTGGGACAGAAAATATGCAAAGGGCCTGAATGTCCCTGCACATCCTTGAGTGCTCCAGATTGCATGGCTTATGTTTTTCCCTATATTGAGCAGTTTTTGTAGCTACACTTGCAAATACGTAGGTCAAGGCAAGAACAGTACATGACTGCCATGCTTACTTTATGAAGGTGGAAGTTGGGAAAAGTGACTGGGCCGGGTTGTTTGCTGTTTATGAGTGTGTTTCCTGCTTGCTCAAAAAGTCTTGATCTTGGGTGCCAGGTAAGTAATGCACACCACAGCATTTGCAGGTGTATACTAATTTTAAGTTATGTCACCTGATCAGCTATAGAAATCTACTTATATGAAAGAGAATTGAGGCATGCAGCTTCAACGAAACTCTCAGACAATATGCAGATGCAGCCAACACTATCTTGTTAGCCTGTGAATAAGCCACCTGGACTGGCTTCTGCACAGTATTACTGATCCCAGTTTGACTGTTACAGCTAACAACACTTGGAGCATAGAAAAGCTGTCCCTGTTGAGCCCTATCAACTTTCAAATTTTAAGCAAATAAATGATTTTTCTATTAAGCCTCTAAATATTGGAATTTCTTTTTGCTTTATTTAATTAAATTTTATATTGAGATAAGGGCATATTCACATACAATTATAAGAAACAATACAGAGATCTCATGCATACTTAACTCAATTTCCTCCAGTGGTAACAAACTGCTAAAACTGTAGCACTATTACAACCCGTATATACACAATGATACAGGCAAAATAGAGAACATTTCCGTCATTACAAGAATCCTTTGTGTAGCCATTTTAGAACCACATACACCTCCCTCTTTTAACCTCAGTGCTGACTTTTAACAACCACCAACCTCTTCTCCATTTTTAAAATTTTGTCATTTCAAGAATGTTACATAATGAAATCATACAGAATCCAATAATTTAGAATTGACTTTTTTCATACAGCATAATTATATGGGCACTTAAACAAGTAGTTCTGTGTATAAATAGTTGACACCATATACTGCTGAGTAGTATTTCATGGTGTGGGCGTACCACAGTTTTTAAACTATTCAACAGTTGGAGGATAGTCACATTATTTTCTATTTTAGTCTATTATAAATAAAACTGCTATGAATATATCTGTATAGATTTTGTGGTAAATAGAAATTTTCATTTCTCTGGCATGAAGGTGCAGGAGTACAATTCCTGGGTTATATGATAGCTGCGTTTTAATTTTACAAGAAACTGGTAAAAATTTTTACTCACGTTATATTCCCATCACCAACGTGAATAATCAGTTTCTCCCTTCCTCTTAAGATATCATTTGCTTATCGTTAGTTATCATGGATAACCTCATTGGTTATCTATGTTTTTTATTTTTAGGCTTTCTAATAGGTATGTTAAAAGGTGAAATCTCGTGTTTGTAATTTGTGTTTCTCTAATGTCTAATTATGTTCAACATTTTTTTCATGTGTTAAATTGCCATCTGTATGTACTCTTCAGTGAAATATCTTTTCATTTCATGTACTCATTATCTAATTACATTTTTCAACTGTAAAGTTTGAGACTCCTTTATATATTCTAGATATAACTATGTATCAGATATATGGTCTGAAAATATTTTCCATCACTCTGTAGCCTGTATTTTTTTTCCTCTTAACAGGGATTTTATGAACCAAAATTATTTCAATGTTGATAAATTCAAATTTATGAATTTCTTCCTTTATAGGTTATGGTTTTGCTGTTAAGAACTCTTTATATAGTTGTATGTTCTGAGTATTTTTTCCAATTTATTAATAAAGTTTGATATTTATGTTTTACATTTTTTACAAATAATCCATTTTGAATTGGTTTTGTTATAGTTGATATAAGTTGAGAGTTTTTCTGTTTATTTCCTTCTAGTTATTAGTTTTTCTTCTCTTTTCTGAGTTCTCTTGTCATTGTTGTTATTTTGACTTACGGATGTCCAATTTCTCTAATACCATTTCTTGGAAAGAATATCTTTTTTTCATTGAGTTGCTTTTGCAACTTTGTCAAAAAATTAGGCATATTCCTATGCATCCACTTCCGGATTCTCCATTGTGTTACACCGATCTTTGTGTATATACCTCTGATAATACTACAGCATCTTGAGTAATGTAGATGTACTATGAATTTTAAAACTGGGTAAACTGATTTTTTCCACTTTATTATTATTTTACACAATTGTTTTACACATTTTAGTTTCTTTGTATCTTTCATTTACACTTCAGAATAATCCTATTTGTATCTACAAAAAAAATCTTGATGGAATTTTGATAGAAATTTCAGTAAAACCAAATTTCACAGCTTTTTTAAGTTTTCTTAATGTATGTGTTCTTAATAATCATGTCTGTGACTCATTAGGCATATTCAACTGAACAACTTAAATTCTTCTCATCTGTTCTTTTTTTTCCCATTTCTGGAACACATTAGGTCTCCTATCCTCCAAGTTTTATTTATTCCCAGCTTTAATCTCCATTTTTTTAATGTATTGTACTATGATGTCTAATAAGTAATTGACATGTTAGACAAAGTAACTTGAGATAGTGCACTGCGATTTACAAGTTACTTGAAGTATTGTACATCATAATACAATTGTACATCCTACTACAAATAATCAAAACAAAAACCTGAAATAAATAAGAGAATTTAGTGTATATTACACATGTTTTTCAGGTTTTGTATTTAATCATTTTTCCAGTTGAGAAATTTAGGTGTCTTTCCTACAAAATTAGTTTTGGTTTTCAATTATAATACACCAAAGTACTTTCAATTAAATGTGCAAAGCTAACATAGTAGAAAAGTGTGAAGAAGTTAAAAAACTATAATTATAGTTCTAAAATTTATTATTTCTCTCCAAATATTGCAGAGATCTTGAGGACAAAAGAAGAAAAAGATATAGAGGAGGTAAATATCACACCCTAAAATTTATATATGCAAATACATCTTTTTAAATGACCGTGATGTACAAACAAAATTTATTACATACTTAGAGTACAAAAGAAACGTTAGCACTATTTTTAAAGAGAGATTTTTATATAGAAACTAATTAAGATTATTATTGTTTACAAATAAAATTACCTAATTATAAATTGACCAAAAAAATTAACTATTTCTAAAAATAAGATACATTCCAAAACGTATTTTGTATAGAAGTGAAAATTGAAAAGGAAATAATAAGCTTTCTAGAACCAATAATAAATAGAACAATACATATGAAAAACATGGTGTACAGATAAATCCCTTCATAAAAAATTTGTAACTTCATAAAACATTTATAACATTTTTTATAACTTCTTTATTTAATAAGAAATATATAAATAAAATAAATTAGTCCTGAAAAATTAAAAAACTCACAGGAAAATAACTGAATAATCTATTAAGAGAGACAAATGTAAAAGTAAGAGCAATGTAATATAAAATGAATAAAGTTTAACAAAAGGATGCATAATAAAACAGCAGGAAAGCAATTTAAATTTGTTTGTTCTTTGAAAATAATTTTTAAAAGATAAACTGTTCAAGAGCCTACTTAAGATAAAGGAAACTGGAAGAGAAACCAAATATCTAAATTTTGTGAGAAGAACATCTGTAAAACGAATTATTTAATTCTTCTTTTCTTATTTTAATAAGAAATATTAAATTTTTTTTATTTTAATAAGAAAATACAGAAACTATCCAGTCAGGAAGCCTAGGGAAGACTTCATTCTAAAAACTGACTCACACAGGAATAGTATGTTGAAAACACTAATTAGAAGGGAAGATATTGAATGATGATGAAATATCTACTCTAAAAAATCAACTTGGATAAAATTATTCAAGCTATTTTTAATCAGATTAATTATTAACTCAAATGTCACTTCACACCAAAGTAAGTGATGAAATTCTCACCAACATTTTATAGAGCTGAGATGAGTCTACACCCAAACTCCAAGGACTAGTGCAGTAACATAATTAGTACAGGCTAATCTCACTTAAGAACATATATGCCAAAAAAAATTGTTAAACATATTAATGGCAAATTTTAGCAAAATCATATATATATACCAAATGTGTTCACTATCAAATATCCAGAGGTAGAAATACTATCAATGTAATATTTTACCTCAACAGATTCATAGACAGAATTATTGATACCACCAATAGATAGATGGTAACACATAATTTTATAAATATAGACTTTATGCTTACATAAACTCTAAGTAAAATGGAATAGATGGAAAGTAATTGAATGATTATGTACTACTAAATATCTGCATGTAATATTCTGAATATTGAAACAATAAAACAATTTCCAGCAAATCAGAAACTAGACAGGGCTGCCTACTACTACAATTTGTATTTGAAATTGCTTTGGAATTTCTAAAAACATAAATTATTGCTGGAGGAAAAGAGAAGAGCTGTGCTGCACATAGTATAATTATATATTCAGGAAACCAAGAGGCTCAAATTAAAAAATGTGACTTCTAGAACTAATAAGAAAATTGATTGTGTTTGATAAATAAAATTTAAATTTAAAAATATTAATAGATGCTCTCAATTCTATCTGCAGGAACCTATAAAAGGAAGTGATATAAATGCTTCTATTAATAACAGCAGCAGAAATATATTTATAATACATTTAAGATGAAGTGAATTACTCCATACAAAGAAACTAATAAAATCTTCTTGAATCATGGCAGAAATATCAGTCTCTATAACTGGAGGTATTGCAGATTATACATAAGAGGAGGAAGGAGGAAGACATGTAATTAAATGACTTAAGCAATTAAATTGCTCATATTTTATATACAAATCTTTAATCTGAAGGTTTAAGTGTGTCTGATGACTCACTAAATTTCCTTATGGCTATTGCTGTTCACTCTTGTCCTAAGAGCAATGAATAAAGATGACAATTTCTGTCACTTAAAGACTACCCACTATAGCTAATGTCATAAGTCAGACACACCACTAAGGGACTATGCCTTTATGAATCAGACTACTGATTTCATTCATTAATGCTTAATTCTTTGAGGAGATGTTGACTGCAATATTAAATTTTAAAAGGATAGATTCAGATATCTCCCAGGACAAATAACAGGATGCTCACCCTTTGGGAGCAAGTTACCTATTACAGGTCGTACAGCCAAAGTTACATGTCAATACCCATTCAACTTTTTTTTTTTGAGACGGAGTCTCACTATGTCTCTCAGGCTGGAGTGCAGTGGCGCGATCTCGGCTCACTGCAAGCTCCTCCTCCCTGCCTCAGCCTCCCTAGTAGCTGAGACTACAGGCGTCCGCCAACCTGCCTGGCTGTTTTTTGTGTGTGTGTTTAGTACAGATGAGGTTTCACCATGTTAGCCAGGATGGTCTCGATCTCCTGACCTTGTGATCCGTGCACCTCAGCCTCCCAAAGTGCTGGGATTACAGGCATGAGCCACCGCACCTGGGCTATACCCATTCAACTTCCGATAAAGAAAAATCTCAAAGATCCTGGTCTAATGTTTTTCCTGTGTGGAGGTTCCTTCCTTGAGTATCTCCGGGAACTTTTTTTTTTTTTTTTTTTTTTTTTTTAAGACAGAGCTGGAGTGCCGTGGTGCGATCTCGGCTCACTGCAAACTCTGACTCCCAGGTTCATGCCATTCTCCTGCCTCAGCCTCCCAAGTAGCTGGGACTACCTGTGTGCACCACCACACCCGGCTACTTTTTGTATTTGTAGTAGAGACAGGTTTCACCATATTAGCCAGGCTGGTCTTGATCTCTTGACCTTGTGATCCGCCCACCTCAGCCTCCCAAAGTGCTGGGATTACAGGTGTGAGCCACCGTGCCCTGCCTCCAGGAACATTTTTATCTTCAGCTGTACATCAGACTTTTTGCAAACAGTAGTAACTATGTCTCTAACTTTGTACAAGATATACTCTGGGCAGACAAAAGCTAAGGCAAAGAATCTTTATGAGTATTTAACTAAAAGCTATTCACAAAACCACTAATCCATCTATCCATAAAAGTAAGTCCTATATTAAGATGTATCCATTCCTATGGTTTTGTTCCCTAAGAAGACACAATATTACTTGATTGATATATCTATGTTTATCATATTAAATACACCACAATAACAATTTTTATGAGGATTATATTTTTACAGCAATTTCAGAAATACAGAAAAAATGTGCATATAGTACTATATTCCCATATGCATCCTATTCTACTCACACAGTTACCATTATTATTAACATTTTGTGTTAGTGTGATACATTAGTGTCATAATTTGTACCACTATTAATACATTAACATTAATCAAAGTCCATAGTTTACATTAGGGTTTATTCTCTATGCTGACAGTTTTATGGGTTTTGACAAATGTATAATATCATGAATAGACTATAACAGTATCATACTGACTAGTTTCACTGCCCTAAAAAAACCTGTTCTCCCCCTAAATATTTCTCTCTCCTACCCCTTAAACCCTAGTAACCATTGATATATTTGTACTTTCTCTATAGTTTTATCCTTTTTAAGGATGTCATGTAGCTTTAATCATAGAGTATGGAGCCTTGTTAGACTGGCTTCTTTCACTTAGCAACATGCACTTGAGGTTTCTCCATTTCATCTCATGGCCTGATAGTTTATTTCTGTTTAATTTTAAACAATACTACATTTTGGAAATGTTTATCTACTCCCTATTGAAGAATATTCTGGTTGCTTTCTGTTTTGGCAACTATGAATATGACTGTTATAAACATTTACTTGCAGGTTTTTGTACAGATATTAATTTTCAACTTATTTGTGTAAATACCTAGAAATGTGAATCTTGTATTGAAAGCTTGTGTTTAGCTTTGTAAGAAACTGTCTGCCAGGTGCGGTGGCTCACGCCTGTAATCCCAGCACTTTCAGAGGCTGAGAGGGGCGGATCACGAGGTCAGAAGATCGAGACCATCCTGACTAACACGGTGAAACCCCATCTCTACTAAAAGTACAAAAAATTAGCCAGACGTGGTGGCGGGTGCCTGTAGTCCCAGCTACTCAGGAGGCTGAGGCAGGAGAATGGCGTGAACCAGGAGGCGGAGCTTGCAGTGAGCCGAGATCAAGGCACTGCACTCCAGCCTGGGCAACAGTGCAAGACTTCGGGAAAAAAAAAAAAAAAGAAAGAAACGAAAGAAAGAAAGAAAAGAAAAGAAAGAAAGAGAGAAAGAAAGAAAAAAACTGCCAAACAGTAAGAAACTGCCAAACAGTCTTCCAAAGTTGTTGTTCAATTTTGCATTCCCACTACCAATGAATGAAAGTCCACATTCCTTCTCACCCAAATTCAGAAAAGAATCAACTTGGACAACCACAATAAATAGGAGAAATTCTAGAGCCAGGCCCATGTTTTAGGAAAAAATGAGGATGAAGGAAAGGATAAACAACAAACACTTCATAATTAAGTCCTGCATTAGGGAAGTGTCTTTAATTAGACAGTAGAGCATTGCATTTTGGAAATATAATACCCACTTTAGCAGTAATACTATGGACTCAGACAAATTGAATAAACTTTGCTACAACAATGACCTGGCACAGAAATGCAAGATGATACTGTATTCATTCCTTGCAATTACTAAGAGTCAAGTATTTGGAGCTTAACAAATACTAATTCCTAGATTTCAGTTAACTTTTTCATTTGACTAGGAAGTTATTATCAATAGATTCAGTATATAGCCTCTGTGAATAGTCCCTGTGAATTATATTTACCTGCACCATATTACAATACTCAATAGCATACTATATCTAATAAAATTCATATACAATCTATTATATACTGCTAGAAATATTTTAGTAAAATTGATCTTTGATGCCTATAATAAATATTAATAGTTACACATAGAAAAGAGTATTGCTAAGGTGAGCAACTAATAGTTAATCATTAATTGATAACCTTGTGACTTGAAAAAATAGTTTACCTTCAAAAGAGTGTAGGTATAATATTCGTTAATAAGAGAAATCAATTTTAAGAAAATATTCATCTTCGTTTCCTTTTTACTAGATTTTATCTACCTTGAATATCTTTTGAGTCAATGAACAATGATTTATTCTTGGATTTATAATTTCAATATAAAATCAAATGAAGAAGTTTGTTTTATTTGTACTCCTTAAGGCAATTTTAACAGTATATCAATGCTGCTGAATAGCAATTTAATACTACTAATAATAAACTACCATATTTAAGTCTCAGGTAGAAAATTAAGGCAGAAGAGTTTAAATTCACAATTGAAAGGTAAATGAGCAAAAGTTTGCAAATCATTAAAGTTTTAATTTCCTTTTAAATTTATCTCAGTTTTAGTCTTATAGATTTCAGTGAGTTTGAATTTAACGTGGTATCTATTGAAGTAATGAGATTTATAGAAGAGCTGCATTATCATTTTTAATAGTTATACTGAAATTATATTCCCTTATGTGACTGTATGTATCTAAGCATTTAAACGGCAAACCAAATGACCTACTTGGTTCTCAGAATAGATGACAGTTCATAGATCATTTATTACAATTTCAGAGTGGCAAACAGAAGTTAAAATACTTTCAAACCAAGCAATAAGTTGAAAGACTTGGAAAAGGTTATTAGCTCTGTATATTGGAAAGAGAGCAGAAAAAAAAGAATGGTGAATTTAACACCATTTTAAAAGTAAAATTTTCATAAGCAAGTACAGTAAAGTCTTATGAAAAAGAAGCATCCACTGATTTGTCTTTGTATTTTATTGAGTATAAATCATATTTAACACTACATCATGAATCTAAACTGAACCAACAGAAGTGTGAAAAATGGGACATTTTCTTGCATTTCAAAATGCATTTGTATTTCTCTGCTTGGCTTAGTACATGAAACTACTGATATATTGGGCAGTACATTAATCATCTCATGGGAACTCCACAAAATTTGGAGGTTTCTTTTTACAAATTTTTTTTTTTTTTGAGATGGAGTCTCGCTCTGTCTCTCAGGCTGGAGTGCAGTGCGCGATCTTGGCTCTGCAAGCTCCGCCTGCTGGGTTCACGCCATTCTCCTGCCTCAGCCTCCCAAGTAGCTGGGACTACAGGCGCCCGACACCATGCCTGGCTAATTTTTTTTGTATTTTTTGTAGAGACTGGGTTTCACCGTGTTAGCCAGGATGGTCTTGTTCTCCTAACCTCAAGATCCTCCCTCCTCGGCCTCCCAAAGTGCTGGGATTACAGGCGTGAGCCACTGCGCCCGGACTTACAATTATATTTTTGGGAACATATTTCTCTTTTTTCTTGTCCCCTGTACCTACCTTTCATAAGAGTCATTCTCCCATTTACATCCATCAGTTGTTGTCCAGCAACTACTATTTAAAAAAAAAAAACAGTATTGAATAAATGAAGACAGAAATTTATGTTGTAAGCTCTGCCTATTGATAGAGGATGATTAATGTGGAATAGAAAATATTAACTATAGAGCATAAGTAAAGGGTTGTAGAAGTAAGTAAGACTGATGATCTCCAACCATCCCTCTTACACATCCCAGAGCCCCTTGGTCCCTAGCAAAACTTTCTTATTGAGAAGCTACAACCCTAGTCAAAGCCCTCATCACTTCAATGGCTTGGACTATTCCTGCAGCACTCTGAGTAAACTATCAGCAATATTTTCTTTTTAGTGGTTTTACAGACTGTAAAATATGTTTTTAAAGCTGAATATTTCAAAGAATAAATATTCAGATTATCTGATAAAAATGAGATAGACAGCAACACAATAATAGTGAGAGACTTTAATATTCCACTGACAACACGAGACAGCTTATCAAGACAGAAAGTCAATAGTGAAACAATGCACTTACACTATACACTAGAACAAATTGATTTAACAGATATTCATGGAACATCCTACCCAACAACTGCAGAATATACATTTTCTCATCAGCACATGAAACATTTTACAAGGCAGACCATATGAAAGGCCACAAAACAATCTTAATAAATTTAAGAAAATCAAAACCATATTAAGCATCCTCTCAGCCCACAGTGGAAGAAAACTGGGAATTAACTCCAAAGGAAATTCCCCAAACTATACAAATGCATGGAAATTAAATAATCTACTCATGAATGATCTTGGGTTGACAATGAAATCAAGATGGAAATTTTAAAAAATTTTGAACTGAATGATAATAGTAACATAAACCTCTGGGATACAGCCAAAGTGGTGTTTGGAGGAAAGTTCATAGCATTAAATGCCCACTCAAAATGTCTGAAAGACCACAAATAAACAACCTAAGATCACACCTCAAGGAACTAGAGAAACAAGAACAAACCAACTTAAACCCAGCACAAGAAAAGCATAAAAAAGATTAGAGCGGAACTGAATTAAATTGAAACAAAAAAAAATTAAACAAAAAGCTGGTTTTTGGAAACGATAAACAAAATTGATAGACCATTTATGAAAATAACCAAGAAAAGAAGAGAGAAGTTTCAAATAAGCTCAATTAGAAATGAAATGGGAGATGGTACAACAAATAACATATAAATACAAAAGATCATTCAAGGGTACTAGGAATGTCTTTAAGCACACAAGCTGGAAAATCTAGAGGAGATGGATAAGTTCCTAAAAATATTCAATCCTCCTAGATTAAGTCAGGAAGAAATATAATATCTGAACAGATCAATAGCAAGTAGATAACAACAAATAAAAAAAAAAAAACCTGTAAAAAAAGCCCAGGACCAGATGGATTCACAGCTAAATTCTATCAGACATTTAAAGAAAAATTGGTACCAATCCTGCTGAAACTATTATAAAAAAAAAGAGAAAGAGAGAATAGTCTCTAAATTATTCTATGAAGTCAACATCACTATAATACCAAAACATGAAAGGACATAATAGAAAAAGAAAACTAGAGACCAATATCCCTGATGAACATAGATGCAAAAATCCTCAACAAAATACTAGCTAACCAACTCCAACATCATATCAAATAGATAATATATCATGATCAAGTGGGTTTCACACCAAGGACGCAGGTATGTTTTAATACACACAAGACAATAAACGTGATACATCACATAAACAGAATTAAAAACAAAAATCACATGATCATCTCAAATGATGCAGAAAAAGCACTTGACAAAATCCAGCATCTCTTTGTAATAAAACCCTGAGCAAAACTGGCATGGAAGAGACATACCTCAAGGTATCTATGACAAAACCACAACCAAAATTATACTGAATGGGAAAAAGTTGAAAGCATTCCCCTGGAGAACTGGAACAAGACAAGGATTCCTGCTTTCACCACTTCTATTCAACATAGTACTGGAAGTCTTAGCCAGAGAAATCAGACAAGAGAAAAAAAAATAAATGGCATCCAAATTGATAAAGTGGAAGTCAACCTGTCACTGTTTGCCAATGACTGTATATCGAGAAAACCCTAAAGACTCATCCAAAAAGCTTCTAGATCTAACAAATGAATTCATTAAAGTCTCAGTATACAAAATTAATGTACACAAATCAGAAGCACTGATATAGCCCAATAATGACCAAGCTGAGAATCAAATCAATAACGCAATCACTTTTACTACAGATGCCAAAAAATAAAATACTTAGGAATATACCCAACCAAGGAAGTGTAAGATCTCTACAAAGAAAACTACAAAACACTGATGAATGAAATCATAGGTAACACACACAAATGGAAACACATTCCAAGCCTACGGAGGGATAGAATCAATATTGTGAAAATGACCATACTGTCAAAAGCAATCTACAGATTCAATGTAATTTTCATCAAAATACCAACATCATTTTTCACAGAACTAGAAAAAAACAAATCCCAAAATTCATATGGAACCAAAAATGATCCCACATTGCTAAAGCACAACTAAGCAAAAAGAATAAATCTGGAGGCATCTCATTTCCTGAAATACTCTGACTCTTTTCCCCACCTAAATCTCATGTCAAATCGTACTTCCCAGTGTTGGAGGAGGGGCCCAGTGGGAAGTGATTGAATCACGGGGACAAACTTCCTCCTTGGTGTTCTTGTAATATAATTCTTATGAGATCTGGTTCTTTGAAAGTGTGTAAACCTCCCGCTTCACTCTTTCTCTTCTGCTTCACCATGTTTGAATGGTACTTTCTTCCCCTACAATTTTGGCTATGATTGCGTTTCCTAAGGCCTCTGCAGCCATGCTTCCTGTATAGCTTTTGGAACCATAAGGCAATTAAACCTCTTTTCTTCATAAATTACTCAGTCTCATGTACGTCTTTATAGCAGTGTGAGAATAATACAGAAAATTGGTACCAGGAAGAGGGGCATTGCTATATAGACACCTGAAAATGTGGAAGGGAATTTGGAGCTCGGTAACATGCAGAGGTTGGAACAGTTCTAACAGGGCTAAGAAGAAAAGAGAAAGATGAGGAAAAGTTTGGAATTTCCTGGAGACTTGTTAAATGGTTGTGACCAAAATGCTGATAGTGATATGGACACTGAATTCCAGGCTGAGGTAGTCTCAGATGAAGATGAGGAACTTATTGGAAGCTGGAGTAAAGGTAAGACTTGCTATGCTTTAGCAAAGAGACAGTGGCATGGTGCCCCTGCTCTAGAGATCTATAACTTTGAACTTGAGAGAGACCATTTATGATATCTAGCCAAAAAAAAAAAAATTCTTAGCAATAAAGCATTCAAGAAGTAGCCCCTTTGCTTCTAAATGCCTATGCTCATTTTCATAAACAAAGAAATGAACTGAAACTAGAACTTATATTTTAAAGGGAGGTAGAACATAACAGTTTGGAAAATTTGCAGCCTGACCATGTGGAAGAAAAGAAAATCCCATTCTCTGGAGAAGAATTCAAGGCTGTAGAAATTTGCATAAGTAAAGAAGAATGGAATGTTAATAGCCAAGACAATGAGGAAAATGCCTCCTGGGCATTACAGAGACCTTTGCAGCAGCCCCTTCCATCACAGGCCTTGAGGTCTAGGAGGGAAAACTAGTTTGGGCGGCCAGGCCCAGGGCTTCACTGCTCTGTGCAGCCTTGGGACATGGCACCCTGCATCCCAGGTGCTCAAGCTCCAACTGCGGCTAAAAGAGGCCAAGATATGTCTCAGTCCACTGTTCCAGAGGGTGCAAGCCATCAGAAACCTTAGTAGCTTCCACATGGCTTTGAGCCTGCAGGTGCACAGAGTGCAATAGTTGAGGCTTGGGAGAATCTGTCTAGATTTCAGAAGATGTATGTAAATGCTTGGTGGTCCAGATTGAAGTCTGCCACAGTTGTCCCTCATGGACAATTTCTATTAGGTCAGTGGAGATGGGAAATGTGGGGTTGGAGCCCACACACAGAGTCCCTATAGGGCTCCTGTCTAGTGAAGCTATGAGAAGAGGGCCACCATCCTTCAGACCCCAGGATGGTAGATCCAGAGACAGCTTTTACCATGTTCGAGGAAAAGCTGCAGGCACACAATGCCAGGCCATGTAGGTAGCTGTAGGGGCTGTATGCTGCAGAGCCACAGAGGCAGAGTAGCCCAAGGCCTTGGGAGCTACCCCTTGCATCAGTGTGTCTTGGATGTGAGACAGGGAGTCCAAGTATTTTATTTTGGAGCTTTAAGATTTAATGGCTGCCCTGCTGGGTTTTGGACTTGCATGAGGCCTGTAGTCCGTTTGTTTTGCCTGGTTTCTCCCTTTTGGAATGGGTCTATTTACCCAATGTCTCTATCTTCATTGTATCTAAGAAGTAACTAACTTGTTTTCAATTTCACAGGCTCATAGAAGGAGGGTCTTTCTTTGTCTCAGATGAGACTTTGGGCTTGGACTTTTGAATTAATGCTTGAATGAGTTAACACTTTGGGGGACTGTTGGTAAGGCATGATTGTCCTTTGAAATGTGAGAAGATACGAGATTCTGGAGGGTCCAGGTACAGAATAATATGGTTTGGCTCTGTGTCCCCACCCAAACTCATGTTGAATTGTAATTCCCAGTGTTGGAGGAGGGATGTGGTAGGAGGTGATTGAACCATGTGGGCAGACTCCACTTTTTTCTGTTCTCATGATAGAGTTCTCATGAGATTTGTTTGTTTGAAAGTGTGTAGCACCTCCCCCTTAACTCTCTGTCTTCTCCTCCTCTGTCAACTGATCATAGGGAACTCCATGTAAATTAAACCTCTCTTCTTTATAAATTACCCAGTCTCAGATATGTCTTTATGGGAGTTTGGGAATGAACTAATACTTTTCTCGACTTCAAACTATACTACCAGGTTGTGTTTACCAAAACTGCATGGTACTATTATAAAAATAGGCACATAGACCAATGGAACAGAATAGAGAACTCAGACATAAAGCCAAATACTTACCACTAACTGATCTTTGACAAAACAACAAAAATGTAAAATGGAGAAAGGACAAATGATGCTGAGATAATTGGCAAGCCACATGTAGAAGAATGGAACTAGATCCTCATCTCTCACTTATAAAAAATCAACTCAAGATTGATCAAAGACTTAAATCTAAGACCTGAAATCAAAAAACCTCCAGAAGATAACACTGGAAAAACTTTTATAGACATTGGCTTAGGCAAAGAGTTCATAACCAAGAACCCAAAAGCAAAGCCAACAAAAACAAAAATAAATAGAAGGTACCTAATTAAACTAAAAAACTTCTGCATATTGAAAGAAATAATCAGCAGAGTAAACACACCACCCACAGAGTGGGAAAAAATATTTGCAAGCTACGCATCTGACATAGGATTAATACACAGAATCTACAAGGAATTCAAATCAGCCATAAGAAAAAAAAAAATAATAATCCCTTCAAAAAGTGGGCTAAGGACATGAATAGACAATTCTCAAAAGAAGATATACAAATGACCAACAAACATATGAAAAAATGATCAACATTGCTAATTATGAGGGAAGTGCAAATTAAAACCACAATGAGATACCACCTTACTTCTGTAAGAATGGCCATAATTGAAATCCAAAAATAATAAATGTTGGCATGGATCTGGTGAAAAGGGAGAACTTCTATACTGCTGACGGGAATGTAAACTAGTACAACCACTATAAAAAACAGTATGGAGATTCCTAAAAAAAAAAACAAAAAGTAGAACTACTATTTGATCTAGCCACTCCACTACTGGGTATCTACCCAGAGGAAAATAAGTCATTATATGAAAAAGACATTTGCACATGTTTATATGAGCACAATTCACAATTGCAAAAATATGGAACCAACCTAAATGTCTGTCAGATAAGAAGTGAATAAAGAAAATGTTATACACACACACACACAGACACACCATGGAATACTACTTAGCCATAAAAGGGAACAAAATAAAGGGATTTGCCGCAACCTGGGTGGAGTTTCAGACCTTTATTCTAAGTGAAGCAACCCAGGAATGAAAAACCCAATATTGTATGTTCTCACTTATAAATCTGACCTAAGCTATGAGGATGTAAAAGCTTAATGATATAATGGGCATTCAGGACTCAGGGGAAAGGGTAGGGGTGGGTTGAGGGATAAAAGAATACACATTGAGTACAGTTTACACTGCTAGTATGAAGGGTGCACCAAAATCGCAGAAAAAAACACTAAAGAATTTATCCATGCAACCAAAAACCACCTGTTCCCCAAAAACTAATGAAATAAAATAAAATAAAAATTATGCCAGTATTTTTCAATAGATGCATCCATTATTTCTGTTGCATATAAATGTTCATTATGAATTCTTCTCATTTTTCAATACTTACAAAATCTCAATTGAATTATTTTATTTTATTATATTATTATTATTATTTCTTTTTGAGGCAGGGTCTCACTCTGTCATCCAGGCTGGAGAGCAGTGGTGTGATCTTGGCTCACTGCAACCTCTGCCTTCCATGTTTAGGTAATCTCCTGCCTCAGCCTCCCAAGTAGCTGGAATTTATAAATTACCCAGTCTCAGGTATGTCTTTTTGGGAGTGTGGGAGTGAATTAATACTTTTCTTGACTTTAAACTATACTACCAGGTTGTGTTTACTAAAACTGCATGGTACTATTATAAAAACAGGCACATAGACCAATGGAACAGAACAGCAAACTCAGACATAAAGCCAAATACTTACCACTAACTGATCTTTGACAAAACAAACAAAAACTTAAAACAGAGAAAGGCACAAACCACCATGCCCAGCTAATTTCTGTGTTTTTAGTAGTAAAGGGGTTTCTTAGTGTTTGCCAGGCTGCTCTCAAACTCCTGAACTCAAGAGATCTGCCCACCTTGGCCTTCCAAAGTGCTGGAATTACAAGCATGAGCCACTGTGCCACTCCTAAATTTAATTTTGATTGAAATGAGGAGTTCTTCTTCTTTTATATAGCAAATACTATAATTTCTCAAGCTTACTTTTTCTAAAATCTGGAGAACCTGATTTATGAATATCTAGTCATCTTCTACTTTAGAACCAAATTAGCTGTGGAAAATGTCTTTTGGTAGTTAGTTTCTATAGAACTCCAAAACTTCTTTCACACTAATGTGTATATGCATATTTCAATTTGATTTAATCTTTATACAAGATTTCAAAAATTTATTGTGTGGGATATAATCATTGTATACATTGTTTTACGTAAATTGTCAACAATTATACAAATAGAAGTTATAACCTTAATTTATTTGAAAGAAGATGATTTCCATATTTCTATTCCTATCAGTTGATTAACTCTGGAATTAATATCAACTATTCTCTCCACATTTCCAAGTCAGCATGCTATAGTTCTCAGTATTTATTTATGTATGAATGGAAGACTCTGCACTAAATAACATTTGTTTGTCTCAACCTTACTTCAGTTTTCAGGTCCAATTAACTAATAATTTTTGTAGTATCATTAACCAATTTATTTCACCAAAACTATTTAGTACAATATAAGTGTAAATAATATTTCTAATGCATTCCTTTCATTAAATCCTTTTGAAGCAATTCAACTCATCCATGTTGACTTTTGTCGAAACTTTTCTACACAGGCTTTCTGCATGCTCTCTAAAAACACATCCCTCTATATCTGCTCATCCTTTTAAGTAAACTCATCTTAAACTTCAAGGTTCAAGTTAACATTCACATCTTCCGTTAATCAGGTCTTTCATGAGCATGGCGGTCATTTGTATATATTAGAAGAACATATAATCATATTTGCATATTTGTATTCCAATCTTTCTTTAATTATACCCATTTTTATTTTGCCCTTCTGCATTTTTCCTGGTATAATTTTTGTCCACAGACCTAAATCTTGCTCATCTTTCAAGGCATACATTACATATTGCCTTTAATTTCTCATAAGGTTAAGTTAGGTGACTTCTCCTTGTAATTGCAAATCATTCTCTGGATATTTCTCTTGTTGCTTTTATAATGTTTTATAATAGTCTATTTACTGGTTTATCTTCCCCACCAGAATGAATTTTCTAACCACTGGTTACATGGTACTATTTTTTGTTGTTTTTGTTCTGTTGAGCCTGCTAATCCATATGCATTAAACAAATGTGTGCTAAATATAGTAATCTGTGAAAATTTCTTGTGTCTGCATAGCAAAGTAAAAACAATATATTCTTGATGAACTAAGATAATATAAAGATACGAGCTCTGGAGTAGGTTAGCTTGTGGCAGAAGTCTGGCTCTGCTATTTACAAAGTGTGTTAACTTGGCAAAATATATAAAACTTTGTTATCTTTATTATCATCTTCAATATGAAAGTTATTCTATTTACCCCAATTTTTATAAGACTAAGGAATAGTACAAATAAAATGGCTATCCAGTGTAACAAACTTAACTACAACCTGGGAGAAAATTCTAAATATTTACATCCAATCCAAACTGAATTAATACAGATAATACAGGAGTCCATATGGGAATTATGTAGTATTTTTCAATACAGGGGTGGGAAAAAATAAGAATTTCATGACATGTAACCCCTGAGTATAAAATAAAAGTTGAAATTAATAAATAAAATAAAACAATTTCAAAAATAATTGTACTTATTCATCAATGTGCATCAAATATGGATCATGTTAACAGGATCTGTGTTATGTAATAGAGAATGGGGTGGGGTTAGGGGTGAGAAAGACTCATTGAACTCATTAAGGTAACAATCTTTCCAAGATAGCCATTAAATCATTGCCCAGATTGTTATTTAAATATAACTATGTTTAATGATATGATGAGAAGGGCACGACTTTATAATAGATGAAAAATGGATGGTTGAGTCTAGTCAGAGGAGGATTAGAAATCTTTCCTAGTGCAGCTTAAGTTCAGATTTTAAGGCTGATGAGCACTGGCTAGGTGAAATGAGAGAATAGCCTGTAGGTAGTGAAAACAACACACGGAGACAACACTAACCTTTAGATCGCAACTCCACAGGCTTTAGAGGTCCTTTCTGAAAATTGTCTGAATTCTTGGGACTACTGGGGGGACTACTGGGGGAACTACAGGGTCTCTCCAGTGGTGGTAGATATGGGCCCCTCTGTGAACCTCTTTTCTTGGAGTTCTCGCTGACCTTCTTGGTCATGGGTCAACTAGATGTCATAAGGAGCTCTGGATCTTTCTCCTATGGAAGACCCAGTGGTGTGTGGCTTCTCTAGTTTCCGGGAGGACAGCCTTGTGAGGAAATTATTTCTGTTGACCTGAACAGAATTTCTTTCACAGGATGTGTGGCAATAAGCAACAGAATGATGCTGACCAGCTGACATGAGGTACCTCAAATCATGTATATAGACAAAAGTATCATAAAAAATAGTTCTGGCTGGGCACGGTGGCTCACGTCTGTAATCCCTGCACTTTGGGAGGCCAAGGCGGGTGGATCACTTGAGGTCAGGAGTTCAAGACCAGCCTGTCCAACATGATAAAACCCCGTCTCTACTAAAAATACAAGAAATGAGCTGGGTGTGGTGGCGTGTGCCTGTAATCTCAGCTCTTCAGGAGGCTGAGGCAGGAGAATCACTTGAACCCAGGAGGAGGAGGTTGCAGTGAGCTGATATCGCGCCACTGAACTCCAGCCTGGGCAACAAGCACGAAATTCTGTCTCACAGAAAAAAAAGAAAAGAAAAAGAAAAAAATTTCCCTGGCTCAGCACATCCTAGGTACAGCCCTATGTTCAGGAGGTAGCTAGCTGAATGAATTGGAGGAATAAAAAACAAGTGGGGCTGTAACAGCAAATTAAAATGATTAATACTATATAAACATATTAGGGGTTGAAAAATATTTACATTCATCTATTATTTTATTTTTTCTGGTGGACTAAATTAAAGTGTCCTTAAATTGATTCAAAGCTTACATGATTCTCACAATAAGTTAAATATAAAATTTTACATCTATAAATGCTAAAATGGATGCCAAAATACCCACATTTGTTATTTAACACTGTAAAAAAAAAATCTTTATAATCTGGTAAAACTTTTTTAAAAATGTACTAAGTTTAATTAAATGAAAAGATGTTGTAAAAGAAACATTGAAGCTTCTTTAAAATGACCAAGAAGGCCTTACTTATCCCCTCGGTGTGTGTAAACTTCAGACAGGCTCTTCACACTAGGCACGTTACCACCCTTTTCTTGGGGGATTTACTTTAGAAATCTTGTCATTGTAAATTCTTTTTGTCTTTCAGAAATATAAATCTCCTAGTTTTTTGCCAGTTTCACAGTCTAGGAATGTACTTTTCAAGGACATTTGAAATTTAAAAAAACAAAAATAATAGAGCCTCTATCTCGGTTTCTGTAGGAGAGTAGAGGCCTAATATCAGCAGGCACCTGGATTCAAGTTGTAAAACCACCTCCTGTCATGCAGATAATGAGAAAGTTTACTTTTGTATTGGGTAAAGCCAATAAGCAAACACAGATGGCCAATGATCTCCCTTTCACACCAGCCTTTAAAATCTCTACTGTCTTTTGTTGAGTCAGAGTTGAGTTCAGAATCACTTCTGGCCTCTCTTTTTTGTTGCAATAGCCTTAAGTAAAGTTTCCCTTGCCTATTTAACATTATTCAGGGCAATATTCGCTTTGGAAGAAAAGATGGCATTTTTTGAACATTTTTTCAAGCCTTCAATATTGAAAGACCAATGACAATTTCAATCACCAATGAGTATATGATCATATTCCATTCATTCGGTTAATTTGGCATTCGCCTAGGAAACTTTCTTTTTTAATTTTGAAAATTAGTTCAAATTTCAAAAAATGAACATAGTTTATTACTTAATTTTTTATCCTGTTTTCTTATCTGTTTTCCAAAGAAGAGATAGATATATAAATGCATCCATAAATACACTGATAAATAGATAAGCAATCAATGCACTCTGCCGTTTGTATGAATGTCCATTGTCAAAGTGTCTGGGGCATAGTGTCTTTTATGGTATAAATTTTAAAGTGGTATTTTCCAGAAGTACGAATGGTGTTGATAATAAATACAAGGCCCCTACTGTCTTTTATTTTTACTTTTTGGTAGCATTTTCCTTTTCCAAAATCATTATCCCTTTATGAATTCATGATATGTTATTTACTGCTTCTAATTTTACATTTTTTGCAGACATTGTTGTGAGTAGAACATGCATATATTTGGAAACAATGTGTGAAAACCAGTTGTCAGTTATAAGTTGACCTCAATTTAAGAGGCATATTATTTTTAACTTTAAAATTTCCTTGGTGCAATTCTATTTGTAAGGCTTGGACACTATGAGCATTTTTGTGTTTTGATAGCATGTGGCTTAAGATATGAGCGTTTTGTGTTCTTTCCCCTGATTTTTCAGGTTTTTAAATCTTATAATTGAGCATAGAATGTTAATAAAAATCAAACAACCTATCTTTACCTCTTTTTTCTTATTCCATAAAATTATATGTCTTTTCATTACTCCTATCTCCATTCTTCTGCACCTGGATTTCCAAGAAAGAAATGGAAACTTTAGAGGGTTTTTGGGTAGACAAATATTAAAGTTAGTTTCCCAACATATAGACAATTTTATTTGCACATTAAGTAGGACATAACAAGTGGTGGGAATATAATTACATGTTGAGTCTCCTGAAGGCACTTATTTTTATATTTTAAAATTAATTTCTCAAATAGTGGCTATTACAAACATAATTTGGCCAACACAAATTATTTTCATAGAAAGTAATTATTGGCAAATTTTTAAAATTTAAAGATTATATGAAGTATAATTTTTCAACAAAGATTAAAAAGATGAAATACACATTTTCTTTAATTGGGTATTTATTTTTTCTTTTGAAATATTAAAATTAATATAAAACATTAAAATTTCTCTATTATCAAGTGTTGAGTTATATTTGCATAACATAAACTATTAGAACAATCTTTATATGCTCATGTATATGCTGCCAGAGATCATTAGCCGGGAATTTACTGCTGGGGTCAGCTGTTCTCAAGACTTTAAAGAGAAATTTATCCAAAGAACTCTGTTGTACATTTCTAAGAGAGCAGTAGAAATCATTTCATTTGGCTCTAGAGTAAATGTTGTTGTCCAGAACAAAAGAAAGACCAGATTACTGCAATGTCTGCTTTCAGGTAATAGAATCTCAACTGATTCTTCAGTGTCAGCTGCCATTATTTTACACCAGATTGCTCAAATTGCCATACGGTTGGCTTTTTTCATCTTAGACCCAGTTCCAACCTAAGGAGCCAAAGTGCAGGCAAATCAGTGTGAATCATCACTTTCAAAAGTAAAGGAAAACAATTGATACTTTTAAAATTTATTTTGTTTCACTATTTAAGAGTATAAAATGTGGAAATATAGAGAACTGCCTTAAAAACATAAAAAGGTTGATTACTTGGTATGTTAAATAAGCTACATTTCTAGTCCTAGGATCTGATCATACTTCATTCAACCTTTGAATATGTTTTCATTTTAACTATAATTTTATGAGCTAGTTTTCATCTTTGAAAAAAATTGACATACTTTCTTGATTATCCATTTTTAATTTGATAACATATAAATTATTATTTGAAAAATTACAGATACAATCTATTCACCTTAGCATTATATTGAAGTTGCCATTAATGGTACTAATCATGTAACATCATCAGTGGGAAGGGAAGACAATCAACCTTGTTGTTAAAATCTTCAATCTCAGAATTGTAAGAGATGTAAGAGACATCTGAATGGAAAACTTGATAGAGGAAGCTAGCAGTTCTAGTGGAAGTAACATTTTTTTAAACGCCCAAGTTAAAATTTATTTCTATTTAGAACCAGATTAGAAATCTGATGTATGGAAGGTACTTTTACTTTTGTTAAACAATAGTCATGCATTTTTTGAAAGGATGAAACATTAAAAGATCCCAGATAAAATATTTAGATGATATATAACTTTTGTTCCGACCATTTGGATGACCAACATATTTTCACCTACTCCATTATATCACATATTCAGAATTAACTGCATAGTATTTTAGTTTTCTCCATATTTGTGATGCAAATTTTGTTTTAATTTCTAAAATTAAAGCCAAGATTTATACATATCTTCAAGTCTTAAAAATGAGACATATACATTTAAAAGAGAAAGTCACATATTTTCCTTTATATTGAGCATAACCCTTGCATTAACTGTATACATTTTTCGATAATCAGAGCCACACATATACACAAATCCAAGCAGGAAGATGAAACTTCACTGTTGGTAATCATCATAATGTCCTCTGTAAAATTTTTAAAAAGTTATATGAGCACTAATGCTGTTTTTTTTTCTTTAATTAGCTTTCAACTAATGATCATATTTTCAGGCGCTATGTTTGGTATTATACGACATTCAATCTGAAAGCATAGGCAAACACATAATAATTTATTGGTATTCTTTTATATGGAAAAGTAATATCAATTTTTCCATGTTTTACTGCCACCCTCATATTCTTTGGCTGTGTCCCCACCCAAATCTCATCTTGAATTATAACTCTCATAATTCCCATGTGTCATGGGAGGATCCTGGTGGGGGGTAATTGAATCATGGGGTCACGTCGTTCCTGTGCTGTGCTTGTGATAGTAAATAAGTCTCATGAGATCTGAGAGTTTTATAAAGTGGAGTTCCCCTACACAAGCTCTCTTGACTGCCGCCATGCAAAATGTGCCTTTGCTTCTTGTTTCTCTTCCACCATGATTGTGAGGCCTCCCGAGCCATGCTGAACTGTGGGTCCATTAAACCTCTTTCCTTTATAAATTACCCAGTCTCAGTTATGTCTTTATAAGGAGTATGAGAATAGACTAAAACACACCCTACATATACACTGAAATGCAATTAGAGGACCATGGCAAGTACTCTTGAGTTTTATCTTACTGAAACATAAAAGGATACAATTCAATTGTTTGACATTCTTTAGTACCAAATTTTTCTTTTCAGATATAGTAAAGAGAAATAAAAATAACTAATATTCTTTGCAATTCCAGTTACTTTAAATAAATTTCGCATTTATAATCTTTTATCAATTACTTTCAAAGTTTCAACATTTGAGAGAAAATATTGGTTTTCTTTGTTTTAAATGGTAACATTTTATCTGTACTTGTAATAAAACATTAACATAAAAATATGTAATATTCCAAATGATTTTAATTATTAAAAACATAGTTACCTATGATATATTATTTTATTTTTGTCATATATTTTGTTGTTTTAAGTAGAGACTGAATAGAATATTACTGTTTGACTTGACTCTGTATTTTGAAGCCATATGAGTCTACATGAGATTATCGAGCTCCATGATGTCAAACATAGATTAATAAGCAAAATCATTTTACTAATAGAATAAGACAGGTGAAGAAACCAACCAAATATAGTATAATTAATGTGATCTTGTTTGTGTTTCTCAAAAACATTAGAATTTGCTCTCAACATTTTTCACATATTAGCCATGCATATATATATATATATATAATAAATATATATATATAATAAATATATATATACACACCCACACACAGGTTAACTTTTTGATATGTAAAAGGCATTTAAATGAAAGTGTATTAATGACCAGCAATGTCTTGATTCCTTAGAATATGAGTTGCTTTCTAACTCATCTTTCTCCATGGTAACTAAGCTAATTTTCCCAAGTAATGCTAGTATATTACCGCTATAAACAATGTGACTTCAGGATTGGGAAGGAGATCTGAGGCCACCCTCAGTCAACCACATCCATTCTGTGTCCTGGAACATGACTCAGCTTGCCTCCTCAAGATCTCTTTGATTATGCAATACCCTGAAATGCCTTCCTCACTTACCAGAACTTCTGTAAATCCTTCCCTGATCTCTTAAACAAACAAATAACAAAGCCAATATATTTATTCTTTCTGAATTCTTAGAGCAGATGTTAACAATTATACATATTTGGAATGTATTTACAACTAGAAGTGATAGTGCATATATTATTATACAATCACAGCTAAAATGTAAAGTCCTAAGGATGAGAAGAATGGGTTCTATTTCAACACCTATGGAGCTATCCACTACTACTTATTACATAGTATTATCACAAGAAAAAGGTTGTTGGCCGGCGTGGTGGCTCACGCCTATAATACCAGCATTTTGGGAGGCCGTGGTGGGTGGATCACGAGGTCGGGAGATCAAGACCATCCTGGGTAACACGGTGAAACCCCGTCTCTACTAAAAATGCAAAAAATTAGCCGGGTGCCTGTAGTCCCAGCTACTTGGGAGGCTGAGGCAGGACAACAGCATGAACTCAGGAGGCGGAGCTTGCAGTGAGACCAGATTGCACCACTGCACTCAAGCCTGGGTAACACAGCGAGACCTTGCCTCAAAAAAAAAAAAATTGTCATTCAGTCTAAAATTTCATTTTACAAATAATGAAATTAAGAACATAGTTATTAAGTGACTGACTCAAGACACATTACTAACGCAAAAATAATGAGCATTAGTATTATAACCAGAAAACTGGCTTTCACTACAGTTTTTTTTTTTGAAGTGCATTCCACTAATTGATATTGTTTAATAGATATTATAGAATAAACCATTGGCTTTAATTAATTCAGAAGATCTCCTCATCTAATTTTTTGTTATATAATGTGAATATTTCTCAATGAGGTTGTTCTCTTTAAATTTGTTTTTTTATATTTTATTTATAAAATATATTTACATATTTATATATTATAATATATATTTAGATATAGATTTTATAAAATATATAAAATATTGTATATTTTATATATTTTTCTATATATATATTTGCATTTAGACAGTTTTGGAACTTGTAGGACCAAATTAATAAAATTCACTTTTATTAACTTTTAGAATTACCTTGCCATTCTGAGAATAGAAAATTATTCAAGTATATTATTCTCTTGTTTTTCTTTTTATTTTTCATTTTAATTATTTATTCTGCAATAAACCATTTTGATTTATGGCGTCAAATTAAATAATGCATGTTTTCCAAATATTAAAATACTTTTTGTAGTCATTGGCTCAGTATCTAGTTATTGAATGATTAACCACTTTCTCCCCCATTTTAAAGACTCTTAATTTTTTTTCAATAAATCAATATGCTTTTGATTTTCAGAGTTATTCTATTCTGTTCCAGTGATCTTTACACCTAATATATTTCTATAATTAAAATTTAAAAATAAGGATACCTTACATTTTACTATAAGTTTAAAGTTACAGTATACTAGCATGAAGGTCACATATGTGAGTTTAAGAGATTCACAAATCTTAGAAATAAGTGGTGGTAAATCAGGAAATGTGAAAATTCTCCAACATACAGCTTCTTTAATCTTTCCAAGTAGAAAGGGTAGCTACTGAATTTAGAAATTTAACCTTAGAATTATAGGCAAATCTTCAGGTAGACAATTTATGATTCTGATAAATTTTTATGATAATTATGTACGTAAGTGAATCTTTACATAAGTGACCCTCCTTACTAACTACTTTCTCCCTCTTCATCTCGCACTCCAAGTGAACAGGCAGAGGCTGTTAGAAAAACTGGATCTAGTAATGGAAGGCAACTATTCCAGTTTTTCCATTAACCATGTGTTTTAACTTTCCTTCTAAGTGGTTAGGATCTCCACGGAAAAAGTTTTACCCATCTGTACTCATATAAGTACTATCCTATAGTAATAATTCAGCTGTAGCTATTATTCAAAATCCTCACTTCAAATTTAATTCTTCTTAAAATAAATCAAGTCTGTTTTTCTATATTTGCCTTTTTCTGGAAGTCAAAGTCAATAGGTAACCATGTTTTTATAGCTGGCTGAAAGTTACACAAAAGACAATGCTTGTTCATTTACAAAATCATTTTAAAATACTATTTGTGGACATAACCCTGTAGAAAATAATTTTTAAAATTCTATATTTATCAATGTTAACTTTGCCTTCCCCATATTATAATAAAAATCTTGAACTTTCTCTGCTTTTCAAAACTGTTAAACCTGGGTCTCTTTAAATGTACATCCTTATAAAAAATTGCAAAAGCAATAAAAGAGATGCTACTTCTTTAATTTCTTACCATGTTCCTTGTTTAATTCTATATTCACTAACTCACTATGCTCTAAATCATAAAGCAATAGCAATATTGATTTTTATTTCAAAAACGCTTTAAAACTCTGCATTAAATTGAAAATAAATATAGATTGATTTATTTACAAGGAAGATTATGTATTATATATTTCACATATATTCATTAATGTAATAATCAAACTAAATTTATATGTGAATTTCTAGTTGGGAACTTTTAAAGTCAAAATGGTTTTTGGACTTATCTAGACGTAATGACTACAATTTTAAAAAGTTAAGGTATGAACCTAAGTCGGTCTAGCTTCAAATTCACTAAACTTTACATTACACCATAGGGTTTTTAGCTTATGCCATTTTTCTCAGTTTAAAATTTTCTTAATTTTACCCATGGATTTTAGACATCAAATGGACTATCATTACCAGATAAATGATTAGAATTAAAATCAGAGGAAATCTGAATGAATAAGTATGGCAAACACTGTCTATTTTTCATAGATATTCTGCCTTGATTTTGAGTAATTTGATTATGCAAACTTTGATATCAATTTTGGCATGATGATAAGTTACTGTTTTTCATTAAAACCTTTTTATGTGGTATAAGTAATAAGATTTTCAGCCCATGGTAGCAGTTGTCCTTGAAACCACTTATATGTAACTTTTGAATTTTATTTTTCTAATGGCCTAGTCTTATTCACATAGAAAATATGAATTTTCTCTATCCTAAATTAGGATAAGCTTCTCTTTCAGTTAATCCTTAAAACAAAACTGTATTTAGAATGTTGGCCTAGAATTTTCTTTATAAACTTAACAGAAATTTTATTCAGATGTATACTGTCATAAGAGTGAATGTTTTATGTTGTATAAATATTCTGTGTGTGAAATACTTCATAAAGTAGGTAACTAATGCCTTCTTTGTACATATATTACAAATGTATTTCAAAATTTAGAATCAAAACAGGAAAGAAAGGATGAAATAAGAAGAGAGATTTTGTGTAAGAATCTTAAAACTCTGTGCTCATTTGTTTTCCCTCCACATCTTTGTTATTACTTTTAAACCAGTTTAAATAATATGAAAAAATGCCTTGCTATATATTGTTTTGCTTTAAAAAGTTAATATTAAAAAATAAGAAAATAAAAATTAAGAAAACAAATCTTCATACTTTGTATGGTGTTTACCATTTCAAGAATTTGTCACTCCTTAATTTAGATACAGGTTTCCATCTGGTATTTTTCTTTTATTTGCAAGACTTTATTTATTTTTTTATTTTTATTTTTCTATTTTTAACTTCTGCAGTTACATAGTAGGTGTATATATTTATGGGGTACATGAGATATTTTGATACAGGCATGTAATGTGAAATAAACACATCATAGAGAATGGGGTATCCGTCCCTTCAAGTATTTGTCCTTTGAGTTACAAACAATTCAATTACACTTTTTAAAGTTATTTTAAAATGTACAATTAAGTAATTATCGACTATATTTACCCTGTTCTGCTATCAAGTAGTAGGTCTTATTCATTATTTCTATTTTTTTACCCATTCTTTATTATTTTTTCAGTGGAGATCTACTAGTAATGAATGATTTCAAATTTTGCATTTCTGAAAAAATATGTTTTAACTTTATGTTTGAAAAATATTTTTCTGGGTTAGGTACTTTTGTTTCAGTGTTTTAAGATGTTGCTCCATTGTGTTAAAACTTGCGTTATTTCTGATGAGAAATCTGCTTTCTAAATATATAATGTGTCATTTTCTCTTTTTGATTTTTAAATTTTCTGTTTTCATGGTTTGTTGAAAGTATGATCATGATATGACATAGTGTCATTTTATCCATTTTTTTTTTGAATGGAGGATTCTGGGGTATTGGTGAGCTACTTGAAAATGTGAGTTTGTAGTTATCAAATTTGAGAAATGTTGGCTATTATATCTTAAATATCTCTTCTTTCCATTCTCTACTCATTTTTTGGGAAAACAATGTTATAGTGACTGGTTCCAATTATCCTGCAGTTCACTGATGTTTTGTTATTTTTAAATTTTTTTATCCCTTTTATTTGCATTGTTTCTATTTCTATGTCCTCAGGTTCACTTATCTATTTTTCTACAATGTCTAGTCTTCCATAAATCCCACCAGGTGGATTTTTTTCAGCCATTGTAATTATATTCTCCATATTTTTATTTTATATCTTCTATGCTTCTACTTAATAAGTTCAATGATTCATCAAGCTTCTGAATATATATATTACAGTCATATATTTTAATACCTATGAATACTTTCATCTAAACAATTTCTTCAAATAGTTTTTATTGATCCACTTTTTATTATGAGGTGAATTTTTATTAGGTGATACTAATTGTAAATTTTACCTTGTTAGGTGCAAGACAGCTTTATGTGTGAAAAAATATTACATGTAAAATGCTGTTAAGTTCCTTGGAAAGTCAAATCTTATTAGGTCTTTATTTTTATGTTTTATTAGGATAGACTGAATCTGTGTTTAAACAGTATATATCTTTATTATTTTTCTTCAGGTATTTAGGAAAAAATACATAGTCTTTAAAAAAAGAACATTTTAATACATAATCTCTGGTTATGATTATTACTACCTGTTCATTACTCATTTGGACTCACTAGCTTATGTAAGCATTAGCATATTATTTTAAGACACAGACCCTTCAAATGTGGTTTTGCACACTGGTAAATGTTTTTTTTTTTAAATTTCATTTTCTTTTTTTGTTTTTTAATTTAACTTTGAAGTCCAAGGTTACACGTGCAGGGTTTGTTTTACACATCAACTCGTGTCATGGGGGTTTGTTGTACAGATTATCTCATCACAGAGGTATGAAGCCTAGTACTCATTAATTATTTTTCCATATCCTCTCCCTTCTCCCACCCTTCACCCTCCAATAAACCCCAATGTGTGTTGTTTCCCTCTGTATGCCCATGTGTTCTCATTATTTAGCTCCCTTATAAGTGAGAATATGCAGTATTTGGGTTTGTGTTCCTGTGCAAGTTTGCTAAGGATAATGACCTCCAGCTCCACCCATGTTCCTGCAAACAATATCATATCATATATTTTTATGGCTGCATAGTATTCCATGGTGTATATGTAGTACATTTTCTTTATCCAGTCTATCACTGATGGGCATTTGGGTTGGTTCCATGTCTTTTCCATTGTGAACAGTGCTGCAATGAATATATGCATCCATGTGTCTTTATAATAGAATGATTTATATTCCCTTGGATATATACCCAGTAAAGGGGTTGCTGTGTCAAACAGTATTTTTGTTTCTAGGCCTTTGGAGAATCACCACATTGTCTTCCACAATGGTTGAATTAATTTACACTCCCACCAACAGTGTAAAAGTGTTCCTTTTCCTTTACAACCTTGCCAACATCTGTTATTTTTTGACTTTTTAATAATAGCCATTCTGAACTGGTGTGAGATAATTTCTTAGGTAAATGCTTTATACTGGAGCATTTAGTTTGAAGGGAAACCTGCCAATACACATCAAAATAAATAAATACATTGATATATTAATACATGTTTTAAAATCTATTCTAGGTAAGTGTACTTGCATTAATACAGGAGTGTATATTCTAGGATGATAATTTAACATTATTTATAATAACAAAAAAGTAGAGACTCCCTAAATATCTGGAGAGTGGGAAATAACAATTATAATCACAGTATAGATATACTGTGGAGTAATATGTAAGAGAAGATAATAAGCTAGCTAGAGAAATTAACAGATAGCCAATTGGCGGAAAGAGAAGCCTTGTAGAATTATAGGTATGTTATATTGCAATTTATGTTAAATATTTTTCTCAGGTATTTTTTGTAAAGATACACAGAACATAGATAATTACTTTACTTTTTAAAGAACACTGGGATGTAAATAACACATTTTGAATGAGAGTTTGAATGATTTTGAACGAAAATATGCATTTCTGGTATGGTTAAATATTTTTAAAAGAACTTACAGAATCATATTCTGTATTTTAAGAATTAATCAAAATAATACATTTTTCTCTATAAACATATTCATAGGTTCACCCACAAAATGAGAAATGTGCTTAAGATTTGATTTTTTCAAGCATGTAACAGAGAATTTTACTATTTCTTTACTAGGCTGTCACCTAATCAGATCCACCTCATTTTTATTATTATTTAAAGATTCTGTTGATGGTTTTTTCCAAATATAAATTAAGCTAGCTATAATAATGAACTGGTTGTTCTAAATTTAATTGTTATATTTTGGTTATAATGTAGATAGTTTAATTTTCTCATTTATCTAGTAACTAGAACTCTACTATCAGTACTTGTGTATTAGAGAAATTTGTATTTAACAAATATTAACAGTACTTGAAATGAAATGATATATACAAAATCTTTAAACTATAAACATGCAGGTAAAAGAATCCCTTAATTTTTTATGTTTCATTCTTAATTTGTTTATAAAATACATGGAATAAATTAGGTTTATTAATTAATATGTCAAAGTCAGTGTTTGCACGTGTTCACATATCCTTTATTATTACTAAAGAACGGAAGTGTCGGCTTGGCACGGTGGCTCACGCCTGTAATCCCAGCACTTTGGGAGGCCGAGGCAGGCGGATCACGAGATCAGGAGATCAAGACTATCCTGCTTAACATGGTGAAACCCCATCTCCACTAAAATTACAAAAAATTAGCCATGCGTGGTGGAGCACGCCTGTAGTCCCAGCTACTAGGTAGGCTGCGGCAGGAGAATGGCTTGAATCCGAGAGGCAGAGGTTGCAATGAGTTGAGATCGCACCACTGTACTCCAGCCTGGGCGACAGAGCGAGACTCCCTCTCAAGAAAAAAAAAAAAAGGAAGTGTCACCATGATAAAACATCAGGTTCCATACTGAGAATGAGAAAGGGGGTAATAAAAATGGAGTAGGATTTTTAAACCAAAACAGCCTTTCACGATGATTTTGAGTATAAAATCAGATATTGAATTCACATTCAAATCCACCATTGAGTTTGTAGTTTATATTAACTAGTTGTGTCTTTCATCTAAAATTTTAAGATTAAACATTATAGCGATAATACCAAACTATTCAATTGGTGCTTACTCTAGAGAGGCAAATAATAATGTCACTTTTAAAATAACACTTTGTTTGAAAAATTATGTTGAAATAAGTTGCATCAAATTAGCTAGGAAATTTGAGGGTATACATAGCCTTAGACTTATTCGTAAGTGCAACATTACAGCACAAAATGTAGGGTACGTTCACGGTGGGCCAGAGTACCTGATGTTGGGCCAAGGAAGACAGATACATGGAATTTTCAAACATATTATTTTAAAACCAATATTTTAATTTAATTTTCTATTTCTAGGTAGAAGGTTGTTGTTCATAAACAATATTTCTTAATTTATAGAAAATAATTTTTCACAGTCTCTCTCTTTCCAGAGCTAGTGTAATTTAGCTATATATTGCTGAACGTGTGAGAAAAGGATGCAGTATAAGCAAAGGACAGAGCATAAGCTAATGTCAGGAATTGTAACATGTACACACAAAAGTAAAAATTTTTATTGTTTATGTAATAAACATTTTTAATACCTGCGGCAGACTTGTGACTTTCCCCCTTAAGATACTTGTAAGATTTTGAAACTGAATGGGGCTGAATGTTTAAGAGCTAAGGTGGAATATTTTTATGAAAAAATTGGATTTTCCCCTGTTTTTCAGATACTTGCTTGAGAATCAGAAGCAAAGCAGAGATCGCTTTGGTCTACTCAAACGTCAAAGCATCCCCAACTTAGCTCATTACGGATGGAAGTGAAGAAAATAGGCCCTTTATGGAGAAAATAAACAATTGTCTAGAACTTCTATTATTTTTATGTACACAGCTCTGAGTGCAAAATTTAAAAAAAGAAATACCAGATATTTACCTAAGCAAGAACATATATCTCATATCTAACATATTACAAATAAAATGCAGAAAAAAATCATAATATAAAGTGTTAGGAATGATCCAGATGGCTAGCAAATACAAGAAAAGTATATGGAATCTACATAAGTCTGATGAAAGTCTTTAAAAATAATTAGAAAATAGTTGGCACTATTGGGAGTTTCACAAGAGAATATGAATATATTAAAAGACTCTTAAAACATGCTAGCTGATACTTAGAACTTAATGGATGAGTTTAATTAAATATTGGAAATTGGACATGGAATAAGACAGAGGAAGATAAAGAAATTAGAAAATGCAGAACCTCAAGTACTGAGAGAAATAAATGAAAAAACAAAACAAAACAAAACAAAAACAGAGAGATTTGGAGCATGCTCAAATGTTCCTTGTCGGTATTACTGGAATTGTAGGAAAAGAGAAAAGACCATGGGAAAGAAACAATACTCAAAGAAATAATCATCAAAAACTTATGAGAAAAAGTCAAGACACATATTCAGGTTGATAAGCAAACCCGAAGAAGAGTAGGCTTAAATACAACCAAACCTAGCCTTATTATAGTAAAACAGATCAAAAGCAAAGATAAGAGAGAATATTAAAAATATCCACAGGGAAAGAAATGGCACATTGCCATTAAATGAACAGCAGAAAAACAGTAACACTTGCAATGGGTTTTCAAAATAAGCATAGAAGCCAGACATCAATGAGATGATCTTTTTAATGTCTTGAAAGAAGTTTATACCCAAGCAAAAATTATCCTTTATAAACAACAGCAAATAATTTTGGAAAACTGAAAACAGACAAGGTATAGCCATATTTGTTTAAAAATGAATACTAAATGGAGTAATTTGATGTCAAAAACATAATCTCTGAGAAAAACAGGGATATGGAAAATGAAATGAGAAAAGAACAAAGCATAATTTTTCCAAGCATTTAAAAAGTAATTGTCATAAACACTTTCCAGAAAATAGAACAGTAGGGATAATTTTGCAACTTGTTTTGCAAAGCCAACATAACATTGCAGCCAAAACTTGATAGGAACATTATAAGGAAGAAAAAAAATTACAAGGCAATCCCTCAAAAAGCAAAAATCTATAAAAAAAATTAAAATTGTGAATTAAAACAAAGATTAAACATCAGTACAAAATTTGGATTTATTCAAGAAACTCAAGGTTCTGTAAACTTTGGAAAGTCAATCAACCTAATTTACCATAACGAAAGACATGCAGAACGATTATTTGCTAAACTTTAAGAACCCAGTCAATGTCATTATTCCTAGCATACTAGAAATAAATCATTCTCTTAACTGAAAACATTGTCTACAAAAATTTTGGGGAGAACGGTATAATTTGTAGGATTTATTAATATGTTACTAATTAATTAATATGTTTACAACTAAGAACTAGATGAGAACCTGACAAGTGGTATTTCTACTTCTATTCAATATTATACTGAGGTTCTAGATAGTACAGTAAGGAAGGAAAAGAAGCAAAACACATAAGATTTGAGAGAAAAAACTTTTATAGATGAAATACTTGTGTATGTAAAATTCCAATTAATCTACAAATAACTTATTTGAATAGATAAGTGTTTTTAGGAAGGTTGATGGATTCAAGGTTACCTATACCATTTATTGTGTTTTTCCATACCATAAACAATTAAATATAAGCTACTATTTAATGTCAATACATTTTAATAGCATGAAAGAATCTAAAAATAAATATCTAAAGATACCTAAAAATAAATTAAACACATAAAAATTTGTAAGACCTATACAAAATACTACAAATTATTAATGAAAATAATAAAAAGGTTAAAAAGGAAGATAAAAAATAATGGAAGTTAAAAATTAATGGAAAAATTAATGAATTATTATACCTATGGATTGCAAATAGTCAATATTATAAAAATGTCAACGGTCCCTAAGCTGATCCATAAATCCAGGGCATTCCCACCAAATATGTGAAAAACTTTAAAAGTAAAAGAACCATTAACAGACTAAAAGGTGCTCATTGTCAATAGTTACTTGTAGAATGAAGATTGAAATCAAAATGTGATATTAATACATATCTTAAAGCAGGAGTAACATAAAAAATGTTTACTTGTTAACTTACGAAAAAGGTAAAATCTAAAACTCTTCACAGTTCTTATCTAATGGGTGGTACACTAGGGGGTCTCTGGGACTCTAGTATTTTTCTACTTTTTCATCTAGATATTGGTTACAATCATACATTCACTTTGTAGAAATTTATTGAACTCTTTATTTTTGATGTGCAATTTTCTGTGTTGTTTTACATATCAAGGAGAGCTTTTTAAAAAGAGTATTACTATGTGACATCTAGAGAGAGTGCCACAAAGTAACAATTAAAATTTCAATGTACTGGGAATGTATAAAATGTGTACCTATATCTACCTAGCAATTCAAACTAAAAGTCTCTTAGAAAATAGGATAGGAAATACAATATATTTTCATAAAGAGTAGTTTTAACATACTTCTTAGCAATTGATAGGTAAAACAAAACAAAAACAATGATATATTAAACTTTGAACATTAGTAACACTGTTGAGCTAATCAATTTGATAAAAGCACGTTACACATTTTTTGCTATTTTTGCAATCGTTATCAAATTGTATATCAAATTGCATCTGGTTATGCATAACAGCAGGTTATGCCAAGTCATCTTGGGGGATTTATTTTGAAAATCTGACCATAAAATATTGAGGCCAGGCACGGTGGCTCACCCTTGTAATCCCAGCACTTTGGGAGGTCTAGGTGGGCAGATCATTTGAGGCCAGGTGTTTGAGACCAGACTGGCCAACATGGTGAAGACCCGTCTCTACTACAAATACAAAAAATTAGCCCATTGCGGTGGTGGGCACCTGTTATCCCAGCTACCCAGGAGACTGAGGCAAGATAATCTCTTGGACCTGGGAGGCGGAAGTAGCAGTTAGCTGAGATTGCTCCAGCCTGGGCGACAGAGAGAAACTCTGTCTCAAAAAAAAAAAAAAAAAAAAAAAAATCTGTCCATAAAATATCAACAAATTTCACAGAATTAGTATCTAGAGTGGCTTACCAAAATATAATTGTCTAAGCCTGAAATAAGAAAAAAATGATTTTTCAAACCATTTAAAAAAGACATCACAAAACTCCTGTTAACAAAGAAGTCATAACAAAAATGAAATATGTAGAAATTGAAATGGAAAAGGGTACATATAAAAATGAGTAAGATACCACTAAAATAGAAATTAGAGGGGCTGTAATTACCTGAAATGCTTATATTAAAATAATATTGAGAATTCACAAGACATACATTTATGTTAAGAAATTCCGAAGAATAGAGGATGAAACAATTAATCTATGTAAGCATAGAAATATGTATAATAGAAAAACTTACAATGTAAAGTGTTATCAAACCAAAAGATGCTTTTTTGTAAAGACTAATGATATTTCTAAGATTGACTTTAGGCCAACGCGGTGGCTCACGCCTGTAATCCTAATCCCAGCACTTTGGGAGGCCGAGGCAGGTGGATCACGAGGTCAGGAGATGGAGACCATCCTGCCTAACACAGTGAAACCCCCTTCTCTACTAAAAATACAAAAAAAAAGCTGGGCTTGGTGGCGAGCGCCTGTAGTCCCAGCTACTTGGGAGGCCGAGGCAGGAGAATGGCGTGAACCCGGGAGGTGGAGCTTGCAGTGAGCCGAGATCTCACCACCGCACTCCAGACTAGGAGACAGCGGTGAGACTCCGTCTCAAAAAAATAAAAAATAAAAATACAAATAAAATTGACTTTAAAGGGTAAGGAGAGAGGGAGAGATGGAAGTGGAAGGTAACATTTAAAAGGAAAAGGTTCTAAATTATAATGAAGATAGACAGTATGGAAAGTGATAGAGGCTGACCAGAAATACCAAGTTTGGTTAAAAATCTACCTGCCAGACTTGAAAAGAAAAAACATATGGAACTTCAGGGCGGGGATAACTTAGTCTTCAAAACTAAAATTAGATGGATTAACCATCAAATAAATAGTGACCTAGAAGATAGATCTGAGGCCCTTAATCAAATTACTGCAAAGTGAAAGAAAATGTGGAAAAAAATCAATTAAAATGTGGACTAGATTGTGAAGGTCTAATATATACTTACTATGATAGCAATAATTGAGATTTTATAGGCTATTAGGCTAAATACAGTAATATAGTATATGAGAAATTTCCAGAATTGCTGTATAAATGGAATGTTATAGATAAGTCTTTACTCCTATGTTGAAGGATAAATAACTTTTGAGCAAAATAATAAAAACTAGCAAACAAACAAAAACAACCAAATCCACAGCTGGTTACATTGTACAGAACTTGAAAAGATCAAAAACAAACATGTAAATGTAACCAGTGTTCCAGCTAAATTGTCATTGTAGAATAAGCAATTTCTTCTCAGCAAAAAGAGTTTAACATTACCAGATCACTGTTGAAAAAACTAAAGCAGGAGCTTCATAATACAGAAATCTAACCCCAGGAAAAATTGAGATGCCAAAAAATACAGAGAAGAGGAAGACTAAAACTAAATGTTTAGATAAATATAAATAAAAATCAGTTAAAAGGGTGTTATCTTAAAAGAAATAATAACATATATTACAAATAAATAACATGACAGATTGAAAGGGGATCTGGGAACTATAAATTATAGTAGAATTTCAAAGTACTGGAGGAGCATAGACAGGTTGATTGACTTCATGATATTTTTAGTGAAACATACATGTTAAAAATATAAGAAAGGAGATTAAGTATTATATTAAAGTAGTTAACTTCCAGAGTTATAAAACACAGGAAATATTATCTGACAGCAAAAATTAAAAAGTTATCAAAGTAACAAGAAGCAGGAAAGAAGGAAATGAGACTATTCCACACCACACACAAAATGACATAAGTATAAAATAAGCCAATAGTAGCAAATCTAAATGATCAGTAATCACTATGAATAAATACAGATTTAACTAGTTGATTAAAAGAGGAATTTTCAGATGATAATTTTTAGAATTCCTACATTTTGATGACACAAACATGACAGATAAATTAAAAATATGATTAAAAATGATTACCCAAAGAAAGAAAATATTAACAAAAAGGAAGCCAGTATAGCTTTAATAGTATGGTAATAGACTAAAAATAAATATATATTGGAGATAAATGGTGCTCTGAAATTACATTAAAAGGAATATTCCAACAGAAAGTTACAACATGAAGTAAAAATGAACAGAATTACAAAGAAAGGGGACAGATCTACAACTGCACTAGAAACTATTTTTGCCAGAAACTTATACACAAAACAGGGAAACACAAAAAAATACTGAGTACATAGAATACATTAGTTCCCTTGTGATTCACAAGAGATGCATTCCAAGGCTTCTGGTAGATACTTAAAGCCATGGACAGTACCCAGTGCTATATATACTATGTTTTTGCCTGTATATATGTAACTATGATAAAATTTCATTTATAAGTTAGGCATAGTATAAGATTAACAACAAAAACTGACAGAAAAATAGAACAATTTATAGCAATATATTGGCCAGGGCAGGCCTGTAATCTCAGCATTTTGGGAGGCCAAGGCAGGAGGATCCCTTGAGGCCAGGAGTTCAAAACCAGCCTGGGCAACATATAGAGATCCCAGATTTTAACAGAAAAAAAATTTTTTTTTTTTTTAATTAACCAGGCACAGCGGTGCATGCCTGTATTCTCAGCTAGTAGGCAGGCTGAGGTGGCAGGATTGCTTGAGCTAGGATATCCAGGCTGCAGTGAGTTGTGATCATGTCACTGCACTTCAGTCTGAGAAAGACCCTGTCTCAAAAAACAAACAAACTGATACGTTTGGCTCTGCGTTCCCCTCCAAATCTCACCTTGAATTGTAATTCCCATAATCCCCATGTGTCAAGGGCTGTACCAGGTGGAGGTAATTGGATCATGGGGGCAGTTTCCCCCATGCTGTTCTCATAATATTGAGTGAGTCTCATGAGGTCTGATGGTTTCATAATCATCTGACATTTCCCCTGCTTGCACTCACTCTGTCCTGCTGCCCTGTGAAGAAGGTGCCTGCTGCTCCATTGCCTTCCACCATTATTGTAGGTTTTCTATAGCTTCCCTAGCAATGCAGAACTGTGAGGCAATTAAACCTCTTTTCTTTATAAATTACCCAGTCTCGGGCAATTTTTTATAGCAGGATGAGAATGGACTAATACACAAACAAACAAACAATATATTGTAATAAAAGTTACGTGGATGTGGTCTCTCCCTTTCTTTCAAATACCTTATTTTATGTCACATTGTTGGTCTGCAATTGACTATGGGTAACTGAAACCTTGAAAGCAAACCATAAATAAATGAGAACAATATTGTGTATATGAAGAACACAATAAACAAATGTAGTCATAGATAGACCTCTGAACCCCCAAATTAGTGTTGCACATTCTTGAAAATATGTGTCAAATTTGATTTTAAAAGTAAGTTTTACTATATAATGAATTATCTGTTTTAATTCAGAAAAATGAATTATAATCTTAAGCACAAAGAACATAGGATTCAATTTGACATTGAAATGGCTTAGAGAGATGAGAGAAAGTATGTGATGTTTTGGGGTAAAGGCTAATGATGTGAATATAACTAGAATTTTTATCTGAGAAAGTAAATAAATAGCTATATGGTATAGGTGACATTGGGTGAGAGTGTGCTTATTAACATAACAATATCTGAAGAATTCTTATTGTATGTTAAGCACCCTCCTAACCAACTTTCATTTACTAACTCACAGTCCTTACAGTCCTATCAGGTAGGTTTGCCCCATTTACCATGATGAAACTGAGATACACAGAATAAAATTAGCCACTCTGAGGTGACACAGCTAGTAAAAAAGGAGACTAGAATTGGAATCCTGGAATTTGGGATCATTACTTAGACCCCGAGTTAGAAGCTGATTTAATGGCCAACTATGAAATGTTTTACAAAGGGTAATGTAGAGAAATGAAGAAACTACACTTTATTGTGAGTGAATCAAGGTTACATGGTGATTGACTTTAGTGCCATTTCTTCACTGCAGTTTGTTTGTATTTTTACCTGAAGAAGAAAACATCAAGAATAGGAACTGACCAGGTGTCATGAACAGGTTAGCTCTCAATCTCTGGAAATAATAGGAGTTTGTATTAAGCAATATTTTTCCTTTATGTTAGAATAAGTATCCCTACTTTGGGAGAGGTAGTCTTCTAGAAGATACATAAAATGTAAAAGTGCTACAGATTTGAAGCATGTATTTTTGACCAAATCTGCTGATAGTTATAGTTCTTTTATGAATATTACAATCCATAACTAAGCAGAATATGTAATTTTTAAACATGAGGAAGAAACTACAGGTGACCAAAAAATGAGAATATGCTGGCATAAGCCTAGGAAGATGAGAACCAATGATATATTTGTCCCACAGATGGCTATAAAGTTAAAAATTTCATGGGAAAAGAAGAATCTAAAGCCAAGCCTGAAGTGGTCTATTAATAGAGAAAATAAGAATGCCAACTCTCTCACTCTAGCTACTTGAAACACCAACGAATTTAGGTGTTTACAAAATTATTGGGAAACATAGAAAATTGATTATTTCAAAATTTTATTTCTTAAAGACTGCAAAAGCAGAGACAGGTGGTGAAAGGGCCAGCATGTCTTAAGTTTTACTACAATAATTAATATTCAGACTTTATTGCTGTTAAAATGTGTATTTGTAAGGCCTACATCCAAGCATTCTGATTTCATAGGATCTCAAGCAGCATCTAGAATTCTCTATTGTTCGGCAACAACAGCTCTATTTATCCTCCGGTTAGCAACACACTTAGACATCGTTCTAGTGAATAAAAGTGCTCAAAGAGAATATACCAAATTATCATTCATATATTCTTTTGCTCAACTAATATCTGAGTACTTATTTTGTGCCACACTCAATTTTGGGCCCTAAGTACAGAAAAGTGAACAAAAGAAGGGAAAAGATGCTCTTCACTGAGGGAATTCACATTCCAATATATGTGTTTTATCCATCACTTAAGCTGATTTCTTTTATACTGTATCTGAATGTCTGAAACACCCAACCTACCTCAATCACTTAGCATGTGACTGACTGTGATTGTTTCAATTATCCCAGTTACACCTTATTAAAAATAAATTAAAAACTCAATCCAATTCAAATAATAATTTGGCCATCATTATGATGATGATTTAGCTCTACAAAGCGTAGTTTTATTGTTTGCTTCTGTTATAATACAAGTGTGAGGACAATGAAATGTACCATAGAGTAATAATGAAGCCAGGGTTATCCAAGGTAGGATATACAGAAGTAGGTGGGACAGAAAAAGCACAAACATCTTTCACATATTGATTAAACTCTGCTCACTGCTTCAACAGTTTTGCTGCAATATCATGCCAACTTACACGCTAGCTCTGCCTGTCAACTAAAACATAGCTCTGAATCATCAGTAATTATTTTCAGGAAACAAAAACAACTCTAGCTATTTGAAACACAAATGCATTTAGGATTGTACAAAATCATCAGAAGAGATGGAAATTTGGTGGATCTCAACAATTGCTCCCACAACTGCACTAACAAACTGTCCATCCAGGGGAGCCAGCTCCATAGGGGATGTGCTGACTTGGGGAGCCTGTTACAGCAGCTGTGATCCCAAGATCTAGAAGCTGCTGTGTACTGAACTGGCTTTCAAAACCTCAAACCTAATAAAAGGACACAAAAACACCACTGCAGAAAACCCCAATGACTCTAGAACCTGGCTTGCCAGCAAGAAACAACCAAAACCAAAGGAGGATGCCAACGACTCACTTCTACCTTCAAAACATTTGCGGATGTGTCTTATTGGAAAAATCTAATTTGTATCCAAAGCCTATGAGTCTTCAGTGACTACAGGAATGTTCATTATACCATATTTGAAATGGATGCTGAGTACCAATTTATCCTGTCCTCAATAATTCCACTGTGGAAAGCAACTTGAAGAAGCTTTGTGTTGATAAAAAATTGTTTAACACAAATGGTGAAAAGGGAATATTCCTGGGAATTATTTACTATACCTCCTAAGATGAACAGGCATCACTACTTAGAACTTTTGGCACCCAGCAGATATGTATTTTTTTAATTAATTAATCGCTTTCACATTACCATTTCAATGACTGATAGACCTAGTCTCTCCTTTGACTGCATTCAGTTGTCTTAGAATATCTAATTAGCATAAATTAATTTCTGATTAGCAGAATGCTATGGGGAACTTCATGTAACACACACTGTGTGTGTATGTTTATTTCCATCAACCATGTTCATCATAATTAGAGCAAGAAATTTGGCAACTTACTTCAAATATATGCCAACTACTTTATAAATATCATAGAAGCTCCAAATAATGTTCTATGAGTAGTAAATTTCCTGAATGAAGAAAATTTAAGTGATATTCCCAAAAATACAATTTATCACTGTCTTACTATGTGCTTTTCTAGATTTATCTTAATGACTATACATCAAAATTAATGCATAATTTCTTTAAACTATATAGTGTGAAGTGTCTGTTTTGTTCATAAAAATAATGATTAGATTTAATTATCAAAACAAAAGGCTAGCCATATCTTGTTTCTTGGTTCCAGCTCTGCAGGATTTTATGTATATTAATATATGTGCACATTGATGTCTTCAGACTATGTTATCATTGTTTACCAATGATAAAATTAGTTTCAGATACTTTTTAAAAGACACTTTATATGAAATAATTTTTGAATTAATATTAATTATTAATTAGCTTACTAATCAGCGATTCTTACTCAAAACATTTTAATTCTTATCTGTTTTAAAAATACTATATTTATCACATGTAAAATGCTTATATCAGTATTTTTGTTATCTGCTTTTATGTTTTCTGCTAAATGTTGTATTTACTTATTGGGATTCTTGAAACTATATAGAAATGTTTCAAAGTTTAAAAAAAAAGGCTTAAAACCCAAAACTGAATAAAATACTTCCCACCTTTAAAATGACTGAGCCAAATTCACAGTGAAATAATTTTGTTTGCATTTTCCCTGTTGAATAATATTTTGCATCTGGCCTTTTTAATTATATTAAAAATGTCTTGCAGCATTGGAGCACAAATAAATTCTTATATTCAAACACCAACCTACCTTTCCCATAGTATTTTTTTTTTACATTTTTAAGGGAGTACTCAAAATATTGGTTAAAATAAAAGGGTTTGAAAATAACGCACTATTATAACTGAAATGTAGTAAATATTTCATTCCATCAAAAACCTAAAGTATGTAAAGGTTTTACGGTTGTTAAAACATTGCTTAGTTCAGCAATATTTGAATGTAAACAAACTTGGGAGAAATAATTCCTTAAGAAGGTACACAGATAAAAGAGCTCAAAAATGATGTGAAATTAAATCTAATGCAAATTATAGATAGACGCTGTTTTAAACAAAATAGAAAAACAAAAGCAAAGGGAAGGCAAAACAAAAGGAACCCAAAATAGAGGAAAGTTAAGGTTCATACAAGTAGGCCAGGAAAAATGTGATGAGAGGCACAAATGGGGTAGAAAATGTAGATTTGGGAGATATTGGTCTATGTGTATTATAATAGAATAAGATTTGCTAAAACAATTACTGCTGTCATAAATATTTTAACAGAGTAAATTGAATAAAGTCTAGATACAGTAAGCATCCCTGTTTTATCCATCATTTTTGTGGCTAATTATTTAATCAGAAAGTAAATTTAGTATGATAATATAAACTTCGGTTTTACTAATCTAGATTAGGAGCTGTTATAATGCAACTTCCTAATATTAGTATTAATATCTAGTATTTAATCAATGTTTGAGATTTAATGATGTGAATAATGTCAAATTGTCTGATATGGTTACTTACTCCTTGATTTGATATGAAGAAAATTTTAACAATATGCATTTTCTAAATAATTCAATTTACACTGTCCTCTGAGCTATCCACCCTACCTCCACTCTAGCACTGAACTCTTCTCTACTCGTAATCAAGGTTTTCTTACATAAGCCGGTCATCTGGGAACTACCATCAACAATCAATCAGACCCAAACCCACAATGATCACACCTGCTAAGTATCTGATATATTTTTAATGTGATGGTCTCCATTTATACTCCATGCCACATGTCCCCAAAGAATTTGATGTTACATGTCTATTTTTCCTAGACCATCTCTGGGAGTTTGTGTTTTGCCAAACATACTTTGGGTGCTGTTGCTCTAAAAGTTACACTATATTCAATTAAGAAATAAGCTTTATTTTCCTACTTTCAGTTATGCAGTGCTTTTTAACTCTATGTTTATAGTAAAGATATTTTAAAATATATACATGTAATTACATTAATAGCAAAAACTATTGTGAAGTAGTTTCACCAGGCACAGGTATCCATCCAGGGAAAGACTTTAAACACCTCTCTAATAACATACATCACTATCAACCTACTTGCACAAATTCGTTTAAACAGAACACATGCAAATTAAAAGAAGCAATTTTATTACTCACAATAGGAAACAAGGGGCAATAGAATTATAGAATTCATGATGAAACAGTCTCTCGAGGCTGAGAAAAGCTGACAAAGGAGGATGGAGTCTCATCTCTAAGTAAGCCAAAACACACTGCAGCCGAGGGACTCCAAAAGCACTCCACTCGGGGTTTTATACTCGGGGCCCATTGGGCAAGCTGGGCTAAAGCATTGCACGACATCCTGTTCTAAGAAGCATGAGAACTTTGAGCTGTTCTTATCAGTTCCTCCTTATCCCAAGAGGTTTCATTCTCAGCATATTCTACAGTTATTCTGAAATCACAAGTGAGAAAGGGAGGAAGAGTTGGGTCATCAAGGCCACCCAGGGACTCATCCCGAACTTATGAAAATCACGTGTGTGTGTGTGTGTGTGTGTGTGTGTGTGTGTGTGTGTGTGTATTTGGCTTTATATATGCCAACTACATAAATACATAAATGGCTTATTTATATATACCGTTAATTCATCGCATTTATATTTGCTGGTGTTTAAGTTTTCAAGACATGATAAGGTTTTTATATTGAAAAATAGTGTGTACGCTAAAACTACATATATCTTAAGCCATACGTTTTGTAATTCATTAATTTAAAAGCCTAATATAGGCCAAGTGCGGTGGCTCACGCCTGTAATCCCAGCACTTTGGGAGGCCGAGGCGGGCAGATCACTTGAGGTCAGGAGTTGGAGACCAGCCTGGCCAACATAATGAAACCCCATCTCTACTAAAAACATAAAAATTAGCTGAGCCTGGTGGCTGGCGCCTTAATCCCAGCTACTCGTGAGGCTGAGGCAAGAGAATCACTTGAACCCAGGAAGCAGAAGTTGCAGTGAGCTGAGATTGTGCCACTGCACTCCAGCCTGGGTGATAAAACAAGACTCATTCTCAAAAAAATAAATAAGTGAAATAAAATAAAAGCCTAATGTATTCCTATTTAAAAATACAAATTGCAGATACTTGCTATTGATTGATATAATTTAATCAGACATAATTAATATTTTATAATTAATTGATAGCCTTAAACGTGTGTATGGTGTGTGTGTGTGTGTATGTGTGTGTATGCATCCATACTTTAAAAATATATCTTGTATAAATCTACCTGGGAAAGCTTTTTAGCTTTTGAAAAATTTCATGTAACAAACTGAGCACACATAAATCCAAATGTGCTTATTGCTTTTGTTTTTCTTTTTATATATATATATTTTTTATGATACTTTAAGTTCTAGGGTACATGTGCACAACATGCAGGTTTGTTACATATGTATACATGTGCCATGTTGGTGTGCTGCATCCATTAACTTGTCATTTACATTAGGTGTATCTCCTAATGCTATCCCTCCCCACCCCCAACCCCACAACAAGCCCCAGTGTGTGATGTGCTTTTGTTTTTCTAATAATTTGACAGATTAAACAAATAACAAAAATTTTCTCCCAAAATAATTATTAATAATGTAATTTTACAATATTAATTTATTACATTTATTATTTAATTGCATTCTATTCCTTCTGATTATATTGTTGAAACTTATATCTTGATTTGGGAAAAAGTAATAGACTATTTTGTTAGCAGGCTACAGGAGGCAGTATTACACATTCTCATTTAATACTTAATGCAGTATACTTAATAATTATTAGGTTGAAAAATTAAAAAACTCTGAAAAGAAGGTAACATTAAAAGTATATCTAAAATAATAAATATTGGCAAAGAAAAATCTTTTTTGAATTATAGGATAAACACATTTTTTAGCCTCAAAAAGGAAAAAAGTATACAAAATGTGTATTTCTCATTTATCCATGAGTCTCATAATACAGAGTATTATTGATACTTCAGTGATCTCTTTCTAGAGTCATCACATTAAGCAATCAAAATAAATTTGTATTTCATTTTTAAATAAACACTGTTTTAGATTTTCAGAAGATACTTCACCGACATAGGGGAAATAAGGAGGGCCCAAAGAAAGTGGTTTTTGTTTCTTGGAAGAACTAATTTTTTGCCTCTGAGTGAACACAGAGTAAGAGAAAACATTTAATGTTTAAATGTTGATGTAGACAGAAGATCAAGTGCAGAGACTATATACTGCCAATAATTTCACCTTTATGTTTTAAAGTTTTACAAATATTTCCTGAATAATTTTTGAGTAACTTGGAGTGATTAATATTTTCATTAGTAAAAATATCTCTCCATAAGGCTGAAGAGAAGAGGAATCATGAGTCAGTAGGGCAATTAAGCATCTATGTATATCTACTGTAGTTCTGAAAAACATAGTGAGTCACAAAATGTTCCATTCCACACATTAAAGAGAATAATCACTTATGCAAAAATATGGCCATCTAATCAATATTTTACATAAACTATAATATGATCTTAAATATTAAGGAATAATGTGGTTCTCCTTTTCCCCCCAAAATTTCCTATTATAAGGTTATTATAAAATTCTAAATATTGAAAAATCTTTAAAGAAAATGTTTTTAATATCTAGAAAGTATATTGCAGATAAAATTACATGCTAAACCTAAGCTTAGTTCTCCCTGAATATACATTTTGAAAGCTACAAATTTTGTTCTTTACCAAAAATATTTTACGTTATTTTTGTTGTATATTTTAAAATATTATTTTTCAGTTTGAAGAAATAATAGTAATATATGTCTAGTACGAGATTTTTACATAGAAATTCACATATAGTATTAAAATAACATAATCCCAGCAATTAATAAAAATGTTTTCATATGATTATTTAGGCCTTTAAAATGAAATATATATACATTTTTAAATGCCTGTAATTATTCGCATTTCTTCAATTTGTTCGTTTCACTGTTTCATCTCTTACAGAAACTCTCTATATCATTAATTTTCTATGTCATTATTTCAAATAGCTGCTTATTATTTTATAGAAATGCACTGTGGAAATCACCACAAGTTGATTTTCATTCTGTACATAGATGCTTTCAGTTTAGTAAAGCTGTGCTGAATATCCTTATTCATACATCTTTACTTACCCCTCTGGTTATTTTCTCATTGTAAATATGAAGTAAAATTATGAGTACTTCAAGGCTGAATGATTTAGAAATGTTCTATTTATTTTATATCACAAAATTAGGACAGATATGTATGTGCATATACATATATAGTACATAATGATACTTGCAGAAAACCAATAATGTATGTTCCTACTATTATATTGTATCAGTTAATTAGGTTACTCTAAAATATTTCAGATGAAAGAGATTGTGTCTCTCTTCCACAACATTGAATCCTCAGTGTATATCAAAACTGGAGTATAATAGGAAAGCATGCTGGATGCAGTGGATTGCCTGAGCTCAGGAGTTGGGGACCAACCTGGGCAACATTGCAAAACCTCATCTCTACCAAAAGTACAAAAAAATAGCTAGGGGTGGTGGCAAACCCCTGTTGTCACAGCTACTCAGGAGGCTGAGGTGAGAGGATCATCTGAGCCCAGGAGGGGCTGCAGTGAGCCAAGATTTTGCTACTGCACTCCAACCTTTGGTGACAGAGTGAAACCCCGGGTCAAAAAAATAAACATTAAAAAGTAAATATTAAAAAAATAAAAAATAGGAAAGTATAGATTATTTGTGAGGCCTATAAGGAGTTTAATCTCCTACAAGGTCATGGATTACCTCATAAAATTTTTGTTTGCTTTATGTGGTATATTATTAGATTATGAAGGTATATTGCAGATAAAATTACTTATTAAACTTAAGCTTAGTTCTACCTAAGTATACATTTTGAAAGCTACAAATTTCATTCTTTATAAAAAAAATACTTTTACATGTTCCTTTTATTGTATGTTTTAAAATAATATTTTTCACTTTGCAAAAATAATATGTCTAGTACAAATAATTTTTACATAGAAATTTATGCATAGTCTTAAAATAACCATTTGTAATCAATAAAATGAGATTTTGGTAGTAATTGCTTTCCTATTTTTAACAGATATCATTTTTTAGTTAATTCTTGAACTTCTAACAACATAAAGGAATATTTTGCTCAATTTTACATGAACTATTATCTCAAATTTTAGGATACAATTTTGTATTGTTTACACAGGTTGAATTTAAAAAAGAGTCCTTAGGACATCACAGTATGTACTCAAGTATGACTTCAGTAAATGTAATAGGTACAGTCAACAAGACAGAATACAATAGAGAGATGTAAAAATTTCCAGGCATAGCCCCAGGGTTCTTGTACAGTGGCAAAGAAATTACTTTGCCTTTGGGACAATTAAGCACTAGAATATGTGCTATATGTCTTAGTTTCGGGGGAGGCCAGCCACAAGTTTACTGAGTGGTGTTATTATATCTCACTAGTCACATTGCTTAAAGCAAGTCTGTATAACTTGTCAAACTATGTTTAAACCATCAATCTATATTTCTGCAAACAATATAGATAAGCTAGTACAAAGAGCCTCAAGGGGAATTTTGAACATTACCAGCATAGCATAAATCCCTGGCTAGGGATTATACCTGTAATACCTGAACAAATTGATTAGTTAACAACATTTTCAGATAGTTTATAACTAAAATATTTGCATTATTTCTTACTAAGTCAGATTAGATAATATAACTTAAGTTTGTGAAAACTACTAAACCTCCTAGCACTTTCACCCATTCTTCATCTTGAAAGATCCAGTGAGGGGAAGTTTGGTTGTGTGAAGGAGTCATATTTACCTGTACTTACTGGCACAAAGCAATTGAGCCTCAGTGTTAAGTACAGAGGAAGATGGGAAGCCACACCTGCCTCAGCAGCTAAGCTTTGCCCTTCGTCTGAATATAGCAGACAGCCATCCTCCAATCAAAGACATTTAAAAGACAGAGGAAACAGATTTGGGCCATAGACTCTTGTTTTTTGTTTTGTTTTGTTTTTAATTTCAGTCATATCCATCAGAGAATTCATTCTTCACTAAATATGGAGAAAAAAATCCAGAGTAAATCTTCAGAGTAAAACCTCCAAAGTCAATAAAATAACAGAGAATAGTTTCCTCTAACAAAATTATTTATTAAGAAGACTACTTCAAAAATGCAAAAATAAATAAATGTCCCTCATTTATTTCTGCTGTGCTATTTTAAATTTAGAAAAAATATCTATTTCACATACAGTAATGCTGTCTGAATATTATAAAGCTAGATAAAATTTTTCATACTCACTTTTCTCACCTAGTGTTAAATTTTAGTCAAGTGTTAAGTGTTATCTTGCTATTTATATAAGCTTTTTATATTATGTGTGCTCTAAGAACCATATGTTAACAATTTACAATATTTTCTAGTTTTGTATAATTTATATCAAAATTAATTGTATGTTCAACTTAGAGCATATTGCAAAGGAAAATAATCTGTGACAAGATGTCGGGTAGTTTCAAGTGAATAGAAAATTAAGGTGAATATGCCATGGAATATGATTGGCCTTTTGTATCTATGTTTTTCTGATGTGATCTACATGACAAAATGATATTATTTGAGATGAGGCTGCAGTCATTCTCTAGTTTCATTAGTAGAGTAAGAACTTTATATACAAAATTTGTTTTTGTGCACAGTTCTTAATGAGTACATTTTAATAACGTACACATAAAAAAACAAAATGTCACTATCATTGAATTTAAAAAGGGCCAGAGTGTTCCATTCTACTACATCTTATATTTTTATCTGCTTCATCATCTCAGGTTTAATTTTTTAAAATAATCAAATGAAGGCACTTTATATAATGATAGGACAGATCACTGCTCATTTCAAAGTAATAAAAGTGTTCTTCTCAACTTTCAATAATTAATGGAAATAATTTCTTCTCCTCATAGTGTATGCTTGCTAAATCTAAAAGAAAACTGGTTAAAGCTATCATATTAAGACCATATTACATTTACCTCCACCATACCATCAAAATAGATATGCTTATTATCATATACTTGGTAGTAGAGCTAGGGTTTGAAACATGATCTTTTAGCTCCAAAGATATCATTAACCACTATGCTATATCACGCACCAGTGTCTGTAGTGTTAATAGGACAAACAGGTTATCACCTCACCTGACACATTTAGATATGAAGCCAGTTTCCAAACTCCAAAAGATCATGTTGGCAGAAATAATGTTTCTAGAACACAAAATCTATTTTTGTCAAAGATACAACAAAGATTCATGTTTTCTAAAAGAACGTAGCCTGGCTGTAGCTTCCCTCACATACCAGTAGTTGAACTCACTAATTATATTAAGAAATTCTGCCTTTCAAAAGTTATAGTTCTATTATGAAAGCAGTTGCTCATGTATGTCATTTTAGACATAAGTAGCAAAAGAAATAAACGTAGTTGCATTACATTCTGGGCATTATTATTAATAAGTATATGCTTAACAACAGAGAGCCAGGCAGCATGGTAAAATAGAATATATGCTCAATAGGAGAGGGCTATGTTTGAAATTAAAATCTGAATATAGATTTGAGAAGAATTTTAAATCGCCATAAAATTGGTCTGAAATTTAGAAAAGAAAATTCATTCTGCAAATACATGTATAACTTGAAACCATAAAAAATTACAGAATAAGTGAAATGTAATTATGTTTGAGAAACTCAGATGATAAGCACATATCTTCTGACAACAAGGAATGAAATAAATAAAAAGTGTGAGAAAAATTTTGTCACTTTTTATATATAAAGAAAAAGAAAAAAAACACAAGGTTTGAATAGATTTGAAATAAAATTGAAGAAAATAGTAGAATGAAATTAAAGTAAGAAGTTAATAGAGGAATTAAAATTCAGTTTGGCAGCAGTCTCAGTACCATGGTCATAGATAATTGAATCATTACTGTGGAAGGTGAATTTAATAGATAACCACTCCCCCTCAAAAAAAAAAGCAAAAAAAAAAAAAAAAAAACCTGACAAAGTAAAATACAAGAAGAAATACAGCCCTAATCCAAAAAATTGAAATCCAAATTGCTCCAAAATCTGAACGTTTCTGAGTGATGTCATATGTGAAGAATTCCAACCCTGACTTTATATGACAGGTAGCAGTCAAAACGTTCTGTGAACAAAATTATTAAAAATATTGTATATAATTCATTTCAGGTGATATAAAATATAAATAAATGCTGATTTTCAACTTGGGTCCCATCCCCAAGATTTTTTATTATGTATATGCAAATATTCCAAAATTTGAAAACCAAATCACTTTTGGGCCTAAACATTTTGGATAAGAGATACTAAACCTGTTTATGGAGTAAATACTCAAAGATAGAACAAATAAGAAAAGATTAACATATAGGTATATAATGTTCCCTGAAGAGGTACAGAAAACATGAAAAGACAACTATTCATAGATGGGAAGAGCTATCTTCTCTGACATAAATAAATACATGCTGACACAGATTCAGATGAATATAACTCCATTCTAAAGAAAAATTAAAGAGCCCAAACTACTAGCATAACTTTTTAACAGGTAAAGAAGTCATCAACATCCCAAGCAAGGAAAAATATGAACCAACAAAAAAAGCTTGTTGAAAAAAAAAGTACAGGCTGATGACCAAATTCTTCTATGCAATATGATGTAGCAGTCAATAGAAACATGTATTTACAAGTTTGTGTGATTATGTGACATATCGATTTAGTTGTGAGAATACCAAAACATCTGTAAGGGATAAATTAGAAAAAAGTCCATCATCTGTCCAGGCAATGAGCACAACTTGTATAGTGGTCCACACTGACTTTTATATTTTTGTTAATGTTATTTGTAAGTTTTCATATTTTAAATTTTTATATATGAATGATATTCTCATCATATATTCTAAATTTTCATTGTAAATTTACAAGAAAATAGAGGAAAGTTAATCTATAAATTATATAACAACATTGCTGAATTGACATTTTAATATATTTCATTTACTTGTACCTTAAAAATGTTACACAAAAATTAAGATATCTTATCTTTTGCTCTAGAATCTTGTATTTTATTTGTCCTTTGCTATTGTGTTGGCTAGATCTTTCCAAACATCTTTAAATTATGCTGGTGATAATGTGAATCTCTAATCTTTTTTAATAAACAGGGATATGTTATTGAAAATAATTTTTTCTCTTATTTTTATTTTAAACTATTTTTAACCATAAAATGCCATTATTTCTACTTTTCAGAGAATTTGTCAAAGTTGTTTCATAAATTTTCAAATTTTAATATCCTTGTTTCACTATATTATTTCTCTCCAATCATCTTGATATTATAATCCATTGCAAAACAAAAATCTAATTATAAAATATAAAAGAGATTCAATTAGAAAAATAATTTTTCAACTTTTATTTTAGGTTCAACAAGCGTATGTGCAGGTTTGTTTGACGGGTAAAAGTTGTAACTGAGGTTTGGTGTACAAATGATCCTGTAACCTAGGTAGTGAGCATAATGCATAATAGGTAGTTTGTCAACGGTCACCCCTCTTCACCCTCTCACCTCTAGTAGTCCCGAGTGTCTGTTGTTCTCATCTTTATGTCCACGTGTACTCTATATTTTGCTCTCACTTGTGACTGAAACTATGGAGTCTTTGGTTTTCAGTTCTTACACTAATTTGCGTAGAACAATGGCCTCTAGCTATATTCATATTGCTGCAAAGGAAATAATTTCATCCGTTTTTATGGCTTTTACTGTATTCCATGGTATGCTGTACCATGGTACCACATTTTCTTTATTCAATCCACAGTTGATGGACACCAGGGTTGATTCCATGTCATTGCAACTGTGAATAATGCTGCAATAAACATGCAAGTGCATGTGAATTTTTGGTAGAATGATTTATTTTCCTTTGGTATACACCTAGTAATAGGATTTCTGGGTCGAATGGTACTTCTGTTTAATTTCATTGAGAAATCTCCAAACCATTTTTCACAGTTGCCGAACTAATTTACATTCCCACAAAGAGTGTATATGTGTTTCCTATTCTCAGCAACCTTGCCATCATCTGTTATTTTTTGGTCTTTTTAATAATAAATATTCCAACTGATGTTAGATGGTATCTCTGCGACTTTGATCTGCATTTCTCAAATTATTAGTGATGATGTGCATTTTTTTCACATATTTCTTGGCCACATGAATGCTATCTTTTGAGAAGTGATTATTCGTAGCCTTTGCCCATTTTTTAAATTGGGTTATTTCTTTTTTGCTTGTTGATTTGTTTAAGTTCCTTATAGATTCTGGATATGAGAGCTTTGTCCGATATGAAACGTTTTAGTTTAATTAGTTCCCAATTGTCAATTTTTGTTGTTGTTGTAATTGCTTTTGGGGACTTAGCCATAAATTATTTGCCAACACTAATGTTCAGAATGGCATTTCCTGTTTTCTTCTAGAATTTGTATTGTATTAGGTGTTACATTTATGTCCTTTTAATCCATCTTGAATTAATTTTTGTATATTGTGAAAGGTAGGGGCCAGATTCATTCTTCTGCACATTGCTAGTCATTTATCCCAAAACCATTTATTAAATAGGGTGTCCTTTCCCCATTGCTTGTTATTGTCAACTTTGTTGAAGATTGGATGGTCATAGGTGTGTGGCTTTATTACTGGATTCTATACTCTGTTCCATTGACTTATGTGTCTGCTTTTGTATCAGTATCACGCTGTTTGGGTTATATTGTAGCCTTGTAGTATAGTTGGAAGTCAGGTAGTATGATACTTCTGTCTTTGTACATTTTGCTTAGGAATGCTTCGAATAGTCAGGCTCTTTTTTGCTTGCATATGAGTTTTGGAATATATTCTAATTCTGTGAAAAATGATGTTGGTAGTTTGAGAGAAATGGCTTGAATCTGTAGATTGCTTTGGGGAGCATGGCAATTTTAATAATATTGATTCTTCTGTTTCTTAAGAATGGTATCTTTTTTCTTTTTTTTGGATCATCTATTATTTCTTTTAGCAAAGTATTGTTGTTGTTCTTGTAGAGATCTTTCACTTCTTTGGTTAAATAAATTACAAGGTATTTTATTATTTTTATGGCTGTTGTAAATGGGATTGTGTTCTTGATTTTGTTTTCAGTTTGAATATTATTGGTGTATATAAATGCTACTGACTTTTTTCACATTTATTTTGAATCTTGAAGCTATACCGAGGTTGCTTATCAACTCCAGTACTAGTCTTTTGGTGGAGTCTTTGGGGTTTCCTAGGTATAGAATTCTACGTCAGAAAAGAAAGATAATTTGATTTCTTATTTTACTATTTTGATGCCTTTTATTTTTCTCTCTTGCCTGATTACTCTGAATAGGACTTCCAGGACTATACTGAATAAGAGTGGTGAGAGTAGACATCTTTGTCTTCTTCCAGTTTTTTTAATTGTTATTTTATTTATTTATTTATTTTTTTATCGAGATGGAGTTTTGCTCTTATCACCAAGGTTGTAGTGCAGCAGGTGATCTTGGCTCACTGCAACCTCTGCCTCTTGGGTTCAAGTGATTCTCTTGCCTCAGCCTCCCAAGTAGCTGGGAGTACAGTTGCTTGCCACCATGCCCGGCTAATTTTTTTGTTTTTTTTTTTCTGTAATTTTAGTAGAAAAGGGGTTTCACCATATTGGTAAGGCTGGTCTCAAACTCCTGACCTCAGGTGACCTACCCACCTTGGCCTCCCACAGTGCTGGGATTACAGGCATGAGCCACCATGCCTGACCATCTTCTTCCAGTTCTTAAGGGAGATTCTTTTAGCTTTTGCCCATTCAGGATAATGTTGGCTGTGGGTTTGTCATAGATGGCTCTTTCTATTTTGAGGTATGTTTCTTTGATGCCTATTTTGTGGAGGGTTTTATTATTGGATTTTATCAAAGGCATTTTTTTAATCTTTTGAGATGACCATGTGTGGGTTTTCTTGTTTGTTTGTTTTCAATTGTGTTTCTCTGATGAATCACATTTATTGATATTCATATGTTGAAGCACCCCTACATCCCAGCTAACTGAATCTGACAGCACATCGAAAAGATAATACATCATGATCAAGTGGGTTTCATCTAAGCAATGCAGGGATGGTTTAACATATGCAAGTCAATAAATGTAATACATCACATAAACAGAATTAAAGACCAAAACCACATCATAAAATGAAGTCAATGAGAAATTTGGGATTATGTAAAATAACCAAACCTATGAATTCTTGGTATTTCTTTGAGAGAAGAAAAAAAAATTAACAACCTATAAAACACATTCAAGGGAATAATTCATAAAAATTTACTTTATCTTTCTAGAAAGGTAGACATCTAGATACAAGAAATCCAGAGAACATCTGCCAGAAACTACACAAAATGAAACATCACTAAGGCATTCAGTTACAAGACTGTGTAAGGTCAACACTAAAAGAAAAATCTTAAAGGCAGTTGGAGGAAAATGTCAGATCACATGCAAAAGGAACCCCATGAAGCTAACAGAAGACTTCTCAGCAGAAACCCTACAAGCCAGAAGAGACTGGGGCATGTTTTCAGCATTCTCAAAGAAGAGAAACCTCAACCAAGAATTTCATACACTGCCAAACTAAGCTTCACAAGTACCAAAGGAGAAATAAAATCATTTCCAGACAAACAATCACTAAGAAAATTATCACCAGACTAGCCTTACAAAAGATCCTTTAAGGAAGTTTTATACATGGAGATGAAAGAATAATATCTGCTAACACAAAGCCACACCTAAATACATAACCCAAAGACCCTTTAAAGAAATTACATGATAGAAACTACAAAACCACCAACTAACAACTTCACCGTCGGATCAAAACCTCATTTTAATATTAACTTTGAGTGTGAGTGGTCTTAACACCCCACTTAAAAGGCACAGAATGAATGGCAAATTGGATTTAAAAAACAAGACCCATCCATCTGCTCTCTTTGAGAGACCAGTCTCACATGTAGCAACACCAATAGACACAAACCAAAGAGTTGAAGAAAGATCTATCATACAAATGGAAAACAAAAACGATCAGAGGTCACTATTATTATATCAAATAAATAGACTTTAAATCAACAACATTAAAAAAAAGGACAAAGAAGTGTACTACATGATGATAATGGGTTCAGTATAACAAGATGAGTTAACTATTCTGAATACTTACACACCCAACATTGGAGCACCTGGATTCATAAAAAAACACTTTTAGACCTATGAAAAGGTTTAGCCACACAATAATTGTGTGGGACTTCAACACCGCACTTACAGTGTTATATTATCAGGGTAGAAAGCTAACATAGAAATCCTTGATTTAAATCTGACACTTAAAACAACAGGACTTAATAAACATCTATAGAACACTCCACTTATCAACCACAGAATACACATACTTCTCATCGGCATACAGAACACACCCTATATAAGAAAATTACTTATATTACTAAAATCTAAATTTATTAATTTGTGTTTTATTGAACTTCTATCATTAAATTGATTTAATTAGCTAGTATTGTATATAATATTGTTGTATCTAATTAAATTAGAATATGTTTTATTTTTCAGAATTCAGAATTCTATTATTATCCTCACTCTCACACTTTATATTCACTCCCCTTATCATTGCATTATCTGGCATTTTCTTCAAAATTTTCTGAAATTTTTCTCATCACTATCAATAATAATCTCCTTGTTGTTAAATCAAGAAGGATATTTACCTCTATTTTGACCTTTAGCACCATGTGATGCTACATTCTATTGTTTGTTTGGTTTTTTTTAAGCTTTTACTTAGATTTATAAGATACTCAAGTTTCCTTTAAATCTCTGGCAACTTTTGTTAATATATTTTCCAGGCTTGTCTTCTTATGCTAATAGGTACCATCTATAAATAGATAACTTATCAATCCCTATTTTCACCACAGATTGCTCTCTTCATCTCCAGACCTATTGATCCTGGACCTTTCTAATTTGGCTGAAGACAGATACAATAAATGTAACATTTTCAAAAATTAAAATCATATAATTTCCCTTGCATTTCCCATCTCAGCAAAGGACACCTTCCATCAGCAAATACATTTGGCATTTTTTTATATTCCATCTTCTTCCTTACTCCTCAAATTCAATCACTTAAGGAGGTTCTCCTATGCATGGATCCAATAACTATAAATTTTACTTATCACATTCTAGCCAAATAATACCTGTCCCTTAAAAAGGCAGTTTAAATTTTAGTCACTAACTTGTATGAACTATGAAAATTAAATCAATAACATGTTTTGCTGGTATCTATTTAGTCCACAAAACACTGTGTAAATAACAATTGCATTTCAGTATCAAATAAATGACCGACATGCCATTTATTTCAAAGTCTGTTGGTGATTGGTCTCTGCCTGTCTGTTACTCAGGCCAAATGCAGGCAACAAAGCATGTTGTGTTGCCTCCTTGATTCCCAGTGATAAGACTTCATGAAAATGTAAAAAAAAAAAAATACTCTAAAGAGATAATTGATCAACAAAGATGAAAATTCAGCACAAGTTTTTAAAAATAATACCACTTAAAGTCAAATTCAAAACCAATGTAAAGGAAGTTATGCAGTAGTTGTTCACAATTGAAATGTTGATATTGCCAGTCTCTGACTAAGAGTCAGAGACTCTTAGTGAAGGTGGACTTACGGATAGATAAGAGAACAATGGAGTAAAGGGGATGAAGATATTCCAGAAGAAATGATGTCCAGAAAAAGTTTGCATTAAAGGAATATTCAGAGATATTTTAAGACAGTGAATGCACAAAATATAAATTTGGAAGTGGTTCCAAATTTAGAAAGGAATATTAAAATTCCCCAAGAAATAAAAAGGTTGTCTGCTTGATATTGTGTAGGGAGGAAGAAAGCAAGAACTGCCCAAATTACCCTTGATAAGTTTTTGTAAAGAAATACCATTCAGGACATAGGCATGGGCAAGGTCTTCATGTCTAAAACACCAAAAGCAATGGCAACAAAAGCCAAAATTGACAGATGGGATCTAATTAAACTAAAGAGCTTCTGCACAGCAAAAGGAACTACCATCAGAGTGAACAGACAGCCTACAGAATGGGAGAACATTTTTGCAACCTACTCCTCTGACAAAGGGCTAATATCCAGAATCTACAAAGAACTCAAACAAATTTACAAGAAAAAAACAAACAACCCCATCACAAAGTGGGCGAAGGATATGTACAGACACTTCTCAAAAGAAGACATTTATGCAGCCAACAGACACATGAAAAAATGCTCATCATCACTGGCCATCAGAGAAATGCAAATCAAAACCACAATGAGATATCATCTCACACCAGTTACAATGGCGATCATTAAAAAGTCAGGAAACAACAGGTGCTGGAGAGGATGTGGAGAAATAGGAACATTGTTACACTGTTGGTGGGACTGTAAATTAGTTCAACCATTGTGGAAGACAGTGTGGCGATTCCTCAAGGATCTAAAACTAGAAATACCATTTGACCTAGCAATCCCATTACTGGGTATATACCTAAAGGATTATAAATCATGCTGCTATAAAGACACATGCACACGTATGTTTATTGCGGCACTATTTACAATAGCAAAGACTTGGAACCAACCCAAATGTCCATCAATGATAGACTGGATTAAGAAAATGTGGCACATATACACCATGGAATACTATGCAGCCATAAAAACTGATGAGTTCATGTCCTTCGTAGGGACATGGATGAAGCTGGAAACCATCATTCTCAGCAAACTATTGCAAGGACAAAAAAGCAAACACCACATGTTCTCACTCATAGGTGGGAATTGAACAATGAGAACACTTGGACACAGGAAAGGGAACATCACACACCAGGGCCTGTCATGGAGTGGGGGGAGGGGGGAATGATAGTATTAGGAGATATACATAATGTAAATGACGAGTTAATGGGTGCAGCACACCAAAATGGTGCATGTATACATATGTAACAAACCTGCACGTTGTGCACATGTACTCTAGAACTTAAAGTATAATAAAAAAAATTTAAAAAGAAATAATACACTTTAATTCTGAATGTTTCTGTTATATAGTAAACTATATAAATATTAGTTTTGCATTTTTCCATGTCCCTGTACATTTTTAACTGACACATTACTTGTATTGTTTTGACAGAAGTTTTGAAGGTCGTGAAGTAGTCACACTTCTTCACATTGGTTGTTAAATTGCTACACATGGTTTTAACTTTCATAGTCATTTTTATGATGCTGTAAGACTACATAAAGCAAGTATAGTGTATATAGTGGATTCTCCTTTCTCAATATTTCTCTAATCTAGCCACCATAGTATATCCCATTTCTATTGTAATTTTCAGGATGTGATCATCTATGATCTGAAATAGTAAAACAATTTATTAGATTAATTTCTCCTAAATTTTACTTTACGTTTTTGAGAAAGCTATTCTTTTTGGAACTTCTGGTATTTAAAATTTCTGTATATTTCTTCATTGCTACCAGGATAAAGTTCAAATTACTTAACGTGCCATAAAAGACTCTTCATATCCTGGTACCTCGCTTACTCCTATGACATCTATAACCTTTTCAAAATATATGCCCTAGCCCTACTTAATACCCTCTGTTTTCTAGCTACATTGTAATCATTTTTTTGCCTTAGAGGATTTTTTATTCATGTATTCCAACTGCATTTGAATGTTTTGCCTTAGAAAATTTATTCATCCATTTATGCCAGCATTCTTGCCTTAAAGCAGTTATTAATTTATTTTATTCTTGTAGTATGTTCCAAGTATGTAAAAGATAACAAGTATAGAGGTTTTAGTAAAATTTAGTGAATGAATCCTAATCCTTACACCGTGGTTTGGAAGTAATTAAACAAAAGATCAATATACAATTTTATACTTATCACAATAAACACATGCTGTTTTGAAAGAGAGTAATTAAGAAAGTTTGGGTGGGGTCAGATAAAACTTCTGAGAAATATTGAATGATATTGAATTTGCAGACTTGTTTTAAGTGGTTGTGAGGGAGGCTGGAGAGAAAGGTAGAGTTAGCATTTCAAAAGGAGAAAAACATACATGTAAAGGGCTTATGTAGCATGTCTTGGGCAAGATTACTTTGTACTTGGAAAATTAAAAGGGTAAAAATCAGATTGGGGAATGGGGACAGAAAATGAAAAATGCAAAGCGATAAATAGCACAGATACAAAGATGATCCTAGATGTGCGGCAAAACATGGATGCATGCATGTTAATGAAATTTGTTCTACAGAGAACTTTGGAAGAGAACCAATATTGGATGGGGGTAGGATTATAAACAAAGGGATTGAGCAATACTCTAATAGATATATTAAGAATGCAGTTAGATTTATACAACTGAAACTCAGAGGCCAAGTCTTGACTAGAGATAAAAAATATGAATATTAGCAATTTGATATAGGTAAATACTGAAGTTCCAGCATATTTGATATTTTATTTAGGGAGCAAATGTGGAAGCTGAGAAAGGGTCTAGTCCCAATCATTAAATTATCCCAATATTTAATGGATAGGTAAGTGAGAGAAACAATAAAAAGTAGATTAAATAGGTAGATGAGATGCAGTAGAATATAGTAACACAAAATTCTAGAAGAGATAGTATTTAAAAAAATATTGAATGTGAATTTTAAATGCAGTTTTGATTTAAAATAAGTTTAGGAATTGGAATATACCTTGGCTTTAGTGATACTGAGATTATTGGCCAAAGACTAGAAAAAAATTGAGGTGGTATGTGTGTGTATGTGTATTCAAATTTGATTATAGAACAAAGATAGATGGTACAGAAGCAAATTTTGTATTTGTCTTAGCAGAGCAGCAATTCCTCTTTTCCAGTGGAAGGGAGCAAGGAAAAGATAGATGCATATCACACAGCTTTCATTGTCTGGTAGAGGAAAGCTGGAGAACATCCTGTATGATGGTTTCTATTTCCTCTTTTATGCAGATAATATACAATGAACTTACTGAGATTAGGAAATTCATAGAAAGATTTGACCAAGGGAAAAAATGAATGATGTGGCATGGAGCAGAGGAATTCAATCAGAAGGCCAAAGTTTTGGATAAACCAAATTATACACACATCACAGACACTGGTGCCAAGTATGAGATGGACAGTAAGACATTAGACCAATGGTCAAAATATTTGATTCAATGCAGGACAATAATAGATTACAACAAGAAGGGAAGGGAAGATGATGGCATATCTCGATATCATGAATCATGAAAGAGAAAGCTTTGATCATGATGATGAATGAAGTTTTAGAAGTGGCAGTGGTGTCTGGGAGTGTAATTAGGAGAATAGTAACCTAACTTTATAACATTCTTTAATGATGTTGGTCCTTGTTCTTCAAAATCCTGAATGCAAATATCAGAGCTTTCCAGTCGATTAAAGAGGGAGTCAGACATATAGCCACTGTGATCAGTCTAAATACCCTGTTAGGGACGGACAGTAAATATTTTAATTTAAAAATATTCATAGAGAAATGATAAAATGATTTGTCTTTTCAATAAAATCTTAATATGCTTAAGTTACCTATAGTTTAATTGAGAGAGGTACACAGTGGCACTAAAGAAATATAGCAAATATGAGAATTAGATCTATATAGAAAGTATAAATAGAACCATCAGCACATGAGTTGGTCATAACAAAATTGATAAGAAGCTGACGACATTTTTGTGAGAATTACTTTATCAAAATACCCACAGACTGGAGAGAAAGGGACTATGAATATTTGAGACTTAAAATTACCCTTCTGCCTACCTATCTGTGGACAAGAAGTAAACTAAACAAACTGCTCATCCCTCAAGACAGTCATTTTCCCTGACATCTTCACAGAAGTTGCTAGAGAAGATGAGGGAAATGAATCTCCAAAAACAGCCGTGAAGAATAAATAACAGGAGAGCCACATTTAGGGGACTGAATTGAACTGATTTTAAAAACTCTGTTACATTGGCAAGAATTTATCTAGTATGTAAAGGGTGGTCTGAGTTTTTCTTTACCTGTTCTCTTTCTATAAATAAGACAACTGATTAAAAGAAAATTAGAAGGTGTACACATAGAAAGAATCAGGAAAATGCAGGAGTCAAATGTAGAAGTGGGCGTTCAGCAGTGTTGCCCTAACTCAGTCTTTCTGTGGCTAGAAGACAGCCTATATTCAATGGAGTGTATGATCCTCTTTCTTAACTTCTAATTACTACCACGTGGTGGATCCCCTTTCTTCCCCTCCTACCTGCTACTTCTTTGAATTAGTTAGATCAGGTGCCTTTCCCTTAATAGCACAGAGCCAGAGCAATCATCCTGATGTGCCCATCTATAGTGATGGCACTGGTAATTTAAACTGAAGCTGCACTTTGATTACAGTTGAGTCTAGATAAAATTAAATCAGATTGCAAAGATATGTATATATAGACATACACATATGTGATTTTTTTAAGGTGATGTATCTAAAATACTCTATTGATTTCACCATAGTTATGTTTAAAACATTGAATTTGCAGGACATATAGATTAGGACTGAAGAAGTTTTTGTGGTGGATAAACCAGAAAATTAATTATTGTCTAGTTTATCAATTTTTTATAATGTAATTTAGGTCTTTAATATACATGGATGATAAGAAATAGTCTTTAAGGAGCCTCAAGTTTAGAGAAGGTTTAGGCAGAGAGAGATACTGTGCAATAGCGGTACGAAGGCTTTAGGGCTAAAGTAAGTGTTTACCAATCTTACTGTTAAAAAAGTTTCTGGAGGTTTTCTGGAAGAAAGAATAACTGAAATGAGTAATGAAGGGTGGGAAATAATTGTACATATACATATAAATAGGAGTGGAAAGAAGGTGGTGTGTGGTGAAGATGGGAGGCAAGATAACATTATAAGACAGTGAATATTAGCTCAGTATAATGCAAAACAAAAATAAAGGTCATAGATGATGGTAGAGAGCTAGTTACAAGTAAGCAAGAAGAGAACTTGTAATATTTACTAGTGTGAATTTTATTTTGAAGAATTTGGGGAATATTAAGAGATTTTGTATAGGATATATACTAACCATATTTGTAGTTAAGATATCCATTAGTTTGAGGCCACCCCGGGACGTGTCTTGGATCCAGAAAGCTCCCTATTTACTTGAGGCACAATTTCTTCCTGGTACATAGATATGGGTTACATTGTTGATAAGATGCAATCTAAAAATCTGGCTAAAGCATAATGTCCCAATTTATGAGAAGGGAAAATTTTGAATTTAATGTGAAGCTTGCTTTGTGTTTTTCTTTAGACTTGATTCAGACTTTTCTTAAAGACTAATTACAATTCCAATTTTAAATACTTATGATAAGCTAGTATAAAATGGGAAGTGTGTGAAGACAATAGCCTTTGGACCAAAAACAAAAAAATGTACGTTTCGCACAATCTTAAAATATTACTATTGTCAAATTTTCATTTTGAAACAGATGATAAGTCTGTTTACTGATTATAGTTAAAAGGCAGAAAAGTACTTATTTTTCAGCTGAGATTATTGCATATAAAAGATTCCTCTCTAATAGCATAGCAAGATAAATTTTATTATTAACCTCTTATGTGCCAGGAAATTTTCTAAACACTTTATCATTACTTACTTCAATGGCTTATAATGTAAAGTTATATTTTTTGACTGTTATATTTTGTTAATCACTAGTACTGAAAATCATGTCTGATTTCATAAAAAATAAAAGTAATAAATGTAAATGTTTCATTAAAACAGACTCATCTGTTGTGAGAACAAGGTGTCATAACTATAGTGAACCTAGTAGCCACCAACGGGTTAGGCAACGATTGGAGACAGTGTTGGTGGGCTTGAGACCACAAAGGCGACTGAGCTCTTGACAGAAAAATAAATGCTTTAGACGTCAAACCTGAGTAGTAACAGTAGTGGAGCCAGACCTGGGTATAAATCCCAACGATGAAAACGAAGTCTATGACTTGCTGAAGTTACATAGACTGAATCGCTCTGCCTCATTTTTAAACATTGGAAGCATAATACATTTTGAATAACTGGGATGACTAAATATATGAAAGCATCTAGCATAATTCCTAGCCCATTAGATGCTACTGAAAGTTCATTTCATTCCTTCAATTGAATATTTATGTTTAAAAGTATTTCTGTATCTTTTTGTGTTTCTCTGTGTGTGTGTGTGTGCCTGTGCCTTTTTTATTGTGGTGAGCAGTACTTTTCAGTGCATGTTCTAGATTGGAGGCTTTACATTTCTTTTTCTTTGTTTTTTAAGTGACCACAGTAAGCTTATACACACACACACATATACATTATTACATCATATATATACACATAAAATATCATTATTCACAAAAGAATATTTCAAGACTTACTTGGGTGATGCCCTCTAATATTTAATTTTCTATCCTAGCCGAATCTTTTTTACTTTAATTTAAAGATACCTCCGGTTTCCACACTCTCCAACATCTTCACTAAAGGATTATACAACCATTAATAAGTCACAATGTGCACATTGAAAGTACTGTCCTAGAAAGGCCTAGGCAACTTGTTCATTTCTCATTAGCGTGCAATGAGAAAAATAAAAATATCCTAGGAAAATGAGGAGCAATGCACCTTTCAGAGGTAAAGAACAGCTTTGACAGGCCTATCTGAATAGATAATCATAATTGTCTTAAACCCTGTGAAGATACCAGATGCCAGCTAATAGGCTGTTGTCTCCTTATAATTTGACTCCTCTCTGTAAAGCCTCTGAATATAACTGACGCAAAGAGAGGCGATGAAACCTGAATTTTAATAAACAGCATTTTTGATGAGACTTCCTTATTGTGACAATTCAGTTTTAGAAAATAATTTTTATTGTCTAAAAGCACTCATCAGCTCTTAATTGAAAAGGAGTATTCAGGCAGCACTGCAAAAATGTAAAGAGTTGCCTAATACATTTGCGCTTCAAAAACCTTGGTCAAGATCTTGACCAACAAGAAGTAGTGAATTATAACAGATAAAAGATTATATGGATTGCTGAAATATGACATGCATCTTTCCCAAAAAAAAAACTATTAAGGTTTTTTATCATAAAATATTGACATATTTTAGTCTCCATTAACATAGTTCAATAAGGCACTTCTTGAAATATATATATAATCTCGGGCATTCATGTGAAAGAATCTAGAATTTATTTTTAACATTTGACTTATAAAATTAAAAGTGTGTGATATAAAATTTTCAATCATCCGAAGAATTTTTATTTTATATTTAACACTAAATACATAATGAATAACCATGGCCCTGAAACAAGCAGAATGTGAACGTTCATGCTTGGTAAACTGATTGTGATCAGAGCGTAACCTGAAAATTGGACACGAATTGTACCAGAAATATGATCTATTTCAACTTCTGTATAAATTTTTTGTGATTTTTGGTACTGACTTGACTGAAAAGCATGTATTGGAAATTATAATGGTTATGTGATGCTAGTTTTTAAATTAAAGACTTAGTAAAATTTTAAATTAAAATATATCTGTGAAACCACTGGAAATAGCATGTGTTTAAAGACAACAGCCTGAGGGCAAAAATAATAGTAATAATAATCTTCTGTCTGCTTGCCAAATCTTATTACTGTCAAAATTTGAATGGAGTAAGAAGCCCAATTATTCACTTATGATAGATTACAGGATGCAAAGCAGAAAATTACCTAATTTTTTACCTTAATTCATTGCATTTAATGATTCCTGTAGGAGAAGAACAAAAGATAAAAAAAGTATTGCCTACCTGTTATGTCAATCCATTTTCTAAACACTTTACAATTATATGCTTCACTAGTCAATGGAGTTGAGGTTGATTTTTAAGCAACTATTTTCTTAGTTGCTAAAAATTTGTACTGTTCTACTTATACTTTTAAAAATAGAATGTTTTATAATTTTAATAATTAAGCATATAATCACAAGTTTAATATGAGAAGGTATTCAGTAAGTTCTATTTACATTTCAGGAAAACTACATGACATAGTCTTCAAGTTACAAAATCAAGCCACCAAGTCTTTCTTCATCAAAGAGTGTCTTTATTACAGGGTCTATCTTGAGCTGGAGGAAATAAAATGATAATAATGAAACCCATCTTTTAAGGCTGCCTGAGACCCAAGAGATACATCTTGTATTAGTCTGTTCTCATGCTGCTAATAAAGACATGCATGAGACTAGATAATTTATAAAAGAATGAGGCTTAATTGACTCATAGTTCCATATGGATGGGGAGGCCTCACAATCATGGCAGAAGACTAATTAAGAACAAATTTACATTGTACATGGCAGTAGGCAATGAGAGCTGGTGTAAGGAAAGGGCTTTTGTAAAACCATCAGATCTCCTGAGATTTATTCACTATCATGAGAACATCATGGGAAAGACACATCCCCCATGATTTAATTACCACTCATGAGGTTTCTCCCACACGTTGGAAATATGGGAACTATAATTCAAGATAAGATTTGGGTGGGGACACAGCCAAACCATATCACCTGCCCTCTTAGAGGAAAATGTGGTTTCACAGTTTCCTGAAATACTCTGAGGTCATGCTTCTTTCTCTTACTCAATAGAAACCACAGGCAGAGTCATTACTGCAAGTATTCAGGGCATACTGAATATTCTGTATTGCTATTTAATTATGTAAACAAACTTTTATACTACAAATGTACTTTTTAAAGGGGACATTTGAATCTTACTTTGTTAATTAAAACATTTTAGGAAAGGTAAAAATGCTAATAATTTCTGAATTTGTGAATTTGCATGTAAATCATCTTTTGCTACAGCATAAAATATTTGGTTTGTAAGCCCTCCCCACCCTTCACCTCACCAATTAATTCATTTCATATTCTATCCATCTTTTGCGGTTTTCTTGAGTCTAATATGAGTATTATGAAGAACAATTGTTTTGCTTCATTTTGTAAACCAAAAGGTACTGAGACAGGCCTCAATCAATTCAAAAGTTCACTTTGTCAAGGTTAAAGACATGCCCAGAAGAAAAACATATATGAGATCACAAAAACAGTCTGTGATCTGTGCTCTTCTTCAAAGAAAATTTTGAAGGCTTCAGTACTTAAAGGGGAAAAGCTGGCTGGAAGGGAAAGAGAGAAGGTATGGTAATCCACATGTTGCAAAGGAAAAGGAGCTAGTAGGGATGTAGTTAATTCTGTATTCCTTGTCTGGAGCTCAGTAAACTGAAACTTTACATTAAGGTGACGTGAGCATAGAGTAGCTACCTGTGGATATATTTACCCTTTTATCTGTAGCTATCTGCTTAGGAACAAAAGAAAAGGCAGTTTCTTGCATGACTCGGCTTTCAGCTTAATTTGTTTTCATTTTTGGGAGAGAAAATTGGGGTCCCAAAATTGAGGTCCTAAGTTTTTATTTGTCTTTCATAATTTATATTCATTTAAACATATAGCTGTTGTCATGCTGATAAGATCATTTAATTTTTCCCTTTTGAGTTTCTTTAAGTGATTTTCTTATTTACACACCTACTGGCTTATCTCGCTTATTTTCCTTCTCACAATTTCCCTGTTTCATTTATACTTGATTTTCTAGTACATTTTTGAGAACACCCAAACTGTAGGTTCATAAAATATAAGAAGCCTAATTATGAGAATAACAAAATGGTAGTTACTTTCTCTTTTACGCTTATTACTTTGTATGTTTAAAATTTTTATTAGAAGATCATATAACAATGACTCAAAGCCTACAAGTGAGTACAGCAGGATAAATAGCCTTAAAATCATTACAGAAGTAGAAAAGGTATTGGAATTCTCAATTATTTATGGGGAAAAAATATCAAGGATATATGGTGACCTGAGCTTTAAATATAACCAAATATGGGTAGCATGTCATATATATGAGAGAGAGATTAGTTTCTTCCGTGGAAACATAAGAAATTCTGAGACCTTATAGCAATATAAACATAGATTCATTTAACAAATATATTGTATTATTTCATTCTTACACTGCTATAAAGGTACTACCTGAGACTAGGTAATTTATAAAGGAAAGAGGTTTAATTGACTCACAGTTCCACATGGCTTTAGAGACTTAGGAAACTTACAATCATGGCAGAAGGTGAAGGGGAAGCAAGCAGCTTTTTCACAGGGCAGTAGGAGAGAGAAAGAGAGCAGGAAAATCTGCCACTTATAAAACCACCATATCTCGTGAGAACTCACTCACTATCATGAGACTAGCATGGGGGAAACTGCCCCCATGATCCAATCACCTCCCACTAGGTCCCTCCCTCAACACGTGTGGGGATTACAATTTGAGATGAGATTTGGATGAGGACACAATCAAACCATATCATATCTAGAAATAGAATTATAGACATCTCAAATTTAAATCAACTGATACTAAAACTAGTAACTCTCTCTAACATCAAGGTCAATCACTTTGGACAATTATATGTCATATTTTCTTTGAAGGAGAGTTGAAATAGATAAAATAGAAGTACCTCTGTAAACCTTATATGTTAACCTAGAGAGTTAAAGATTCCTGGTGAAATTGTTTTACTTGACAGATATGAATAGAAAAAGAAAGAACCAAAATGCAGCATACAACTTGATGTATGAGGGTATGAAAAGTGGAATTTGATTTTTGAGGATTTGTTTACAGGCTTACTCAGACTACTTTAAACATCAAATAGTGTGCTAGTTCTTTCTTTCTATCTAATATCTCACAGATTTATTTGGAAATCATGAAGGTAAGGAAAATTTTCGTCATGCATTATGTTGTGGGTATGATCATACTTACCATGGCTTAGGGACATTTTCTCATGTTCCACATGACAAGGTCCACAACAGGGCCCAGATATGCAAGGATGCATAAAGCAATATAAGTCATCTCAGAATAAGCTGAAAATTCTCTAGTGGTCAACAATATGTTCAAACTTGCAATATTTTTATTTCACATTTTAACAAATCAAATTTTAAAATAATAATTTAATATTAGTTTTATATTGATTAATAATGCTTATATAAATAACTCTTAACATACTTTACAGTATACGTAAGTATAACAGTAATATTTTCCTCACTTTCTCTTCTCTCATCTGACTTTGAAATGCTTTGCTACTAAATAACCTGAAGTAGTTAACACACTATACCCTGAGAGGCCTTCCATATCTGTAGCAAAATGCTGTTGTTCCTTCAGTGCCACATCTGATTGGAGAACCCACAAGTGCACCGTAGAAGATAGCTTATCATTTCTGCAAGAGCTATTGAAACATGAAACTAAATCCCTGCTTGCAAAAATTGACCTTGGTGTGTCCCTGAATTCTAGCAGATTGAAAATAATGTCTTTTGTAAAATGTATTATAAGCTGGGTTTGAGGTCAGAAAATGAGGAAATGGAATAAAGCAGTAAATCATATTTCAAGAAGAAGCAAATGGTTTTACACTTGGAGCTAATATTCCTTTGATTTATAAAAACTATAAAATAGAGTAATCATAATAAAAAAATTGAATGCGAAAGTAGCAAAAATTTAGTTATCCTAATGTACGACTCAATGCTGGTCTATTGCTTAATGAGTATTAAAAATAAACAACAAAAAAAGGTGAACTAGAGATAACATATCACAAAATTTTATAAAATTCAGTTGATAAAAACCAAGTTTTTAATGGCACATACAATATTTTATCAAGTTTTGGAGATGCTAATTTTAACTGCTTCTTTTATTGATTTATTAAATAGAATTACGATTTCTGGTATGCTTGTCTATTTAATACATCAAGTATATTTGTGAGTCCCACCAAGTAGATTCAACACCTGCACGTACTTCCTAGCAGTGCACTTTTTCAAAGTCAAAGCAGACAATTGCAAATACAACTAATTATCTCATAAATACAAAATAGCATAGGTCAATCAATTAAAATCAGGTTATTATTCCTGTATTAGTACAGAAAAATTATTTTGCATGCAAGAGATAAATTTTCCAGGCAATTTGTGAAACTTAATGAAACAAATTGTACCTCATATACATGAACACAAAGCTGTTCAGCTTTCTTTATGTAAAACAAAAAGTATTGGTTCATTAATTCATGACTATTTCTTTTTATAAGCAATAGAAATCCTACAATTTATCCCTTCAAATCTATGTTTTATTTCTTATTTCTAAAGCTTGTATTATTATAAACATTAGATTAAACTCTTCTATGTCCTGGGGGAAATAATGCAATAAGTATATTACATGAGCATGGATAATTACCTCTCCCCCACCTAATGTGCTTAGAAGCAAACTGCCATCTTGATGGCAGAGATGGAGAAAGAAAACTCACTGAAACCAAGATTTAATGGGTGGATATGAAAAAGAACCTTTCTTCTTGCTAACTCACGCTTCTGCTATGTAGTAAGTGTTGGTAGTGTAGGAACAACAACAACAAAATACTCTAACATTTTGTGTATAGCTAAGCCTAGATTTCATTCAGGTAGGAGAAAATTGCAGTTTGATGGAAGTTATTTTTACGAGAAAAAAGCTTATATTTTCCTGAAATGAAATGTCTTCATACTAATCTGAGACACGAACAAACAAACTAACTAACAAAAATATAGTGTAAGTGGCAAAGCAGACAGTAAATACTTGGTGGAATAGCCATGAGAGATTTCCAAAGTAGGGGCTAGTACCTCCAACTTTCCTCCAGCATCATATATATTTTGTTGCTAGCTATGATGCAAACAAAAATGTCGAGCATTTGAAATATGAACACCAAAAATTCTTGATAAAATATTTATTATTAAATAAAGGATTCTGGAAAGTTGGCAATTCAAAAATGGTTTTTCATTATTTCTCTGAAAATGGAAATCTTTCTGCTTCTCCTGAATCAAGTTGTGGTTGGATTTTATGGGGGGACAGAGTGTAAATGATGTATTTGACTTTATTTAGTCAAGAAAAATAGATTTGATGTGGTTTTTGTACAATATGGACTGTGTAAATATCTGTATCAAGGAACATGGAGGTCAGACACCAGATATCTGGGTCCTCTTGGTAGAATGACCATATGACCACTTGACTGTGTCTGTTCTTCTTGGCCTTCACAAAGCTATGAAATAAAGGTGAAAAGGTGATTTCGGTGTCTTCAATCTCCAAAGCTGAAGATTTGTGGAATGGCAGAAGAAATTATGATGAAAGTTTGCTATGAAATTCTATAGAACTACTAAAATAAAATCCTGACAGTTGACTTGAAGTTATTTGCAATAGGTATTGATGACTAAGAAGATAAAATGCAGTGAAGTGTGTTTATTAAAATATCAGTTTGGGAAAACAATAACCTCAATTTTCTTACATACATATATCTGTGTTTATTCATATTTATGTACATTTTTGATATTGTACACTTATGAATAAAAGGTTGAAAAATATATTTCAGAATATATTTCAAACCTTAATATTTTTTTTTATGAAGGAGTGTGTGAGTGAATAAGAGTGTGTATAAGAAGAAGAAAGACAGCACATGCGGTGACTCACACCTGTAATCCCAGCACTTTGGGAGGCTGAGGCAGGGAGATCACGAGGTCAGGAGACCAAGACCATCCTGGCTAATTCGGTGAAACCCCGTCTCTACTAAAAATATAAAAAATTAGCCAGGTGTGGTGGCATGTGTCTGTAGTCCCAGCTACTTGGGAGGCTGAGGCAGGACAATCGTTTGAACCTGGGAGGGGTGGAGGTTACAGTGAGCTGAGATCGCACCAGTGCACTCCAGCCTGGGCAACAGAGTGAGACTGCCTCAAAAAAAAAAAAAAAAAAAAAAAAAAGAAAAGAAAAGAAAAAAGAAAAAAAAAGGCAGCATATATCCAGTTAATACAGAAAATTAAAGGAAGGCAATGTAATACAAGTTACAAATTCCTGCACCTATGCAATCCAACTCTTTTGTATGGATGTGAAACTATATTTTTAACATATCCTTCAGGGAATCTTGTGCATAGCAAAGATGTATAAACTGTTCCATATTAAAAAGATTAGGACAGAAAAAAATTATAATTGTGACTTTAAATCTGCTCCCATTTCTAGGGAACGTGTTCAATTATTCTAGAGGATAAATCAATTTCTCCTCACTATAATGTTTCCAAAATGAAGACATCATTTGGTTATCAGATAAATTAATGAATGTACATTTTCGGCTTCTTTTGTTCAATTTTGAGATCCAGAAAAAATGGCACTTGAAAATATATTTGTACACCTCAACATAAACATATGTTATCTAGATTGTGACTAAAATTTTCCTAACAAATTTCTCTGCTGATAGAATGAAATTTAAGAAAACGGTTGATTTACTTATTGAACATTAATTAATTAATTCATATCCTTGTTTCCACTTATTTATTCATTAATATATCTGCTAATTTTACAAGAGCATGTAGATGTTTAACTATAATACATACAAAAAACCCACAAAAATAAGACTATAATTTTAATTATTTAAACAAAAATATTGTAAGCCCAAATGCTGTCTTTGTAAGAATGTAAGAATAGTAATTCTTACAGAATTACTATTATCACCATTTGACTGTCTTCCATAAGCCCTCTGGGAACACAGGGACACAGGAGTAAGGTAAATACTAATTAACAGTTCATTGTATTCAGTACATCAAACTCCTACCTCCACAATCCTTAGAATCTTTTGTGTTCAGCTTTTGAAGCAACCACATTCTTTACTGTCTTAGAAATTCCACATTTCAAAATTGTCTTTTTTTTTCCTGAAATTTCAGAGGAGCAAACTAATTTTACTGTTTCAATGGCAAGTTTCTCTCAATGCAAGAGAGATGGAATGAAGAGAAATTCACTTAATAGTGAGGCTAGAAATTCAAAAAGTTTCTCTTCAACTAATACTCTAATTTGATAGTGCCCACTGGTCATCTGCAATCACCACATGCAGTAAGGGTAAATGTTCTTTAAAGTAATTTTCCTGTCTTGTAACTTCACTGAATTGATTACACAAAGAACAAACATTGTCATTTCTGTTATAATCCTTTCTTTAATATACATTAAATCCTAGTGCCTAACACCTTCTAGAAAATAATAGCATTGTCTTTCTTACATACAACCTGTACATTTAGAAACACAGTTTTGGACCACTAGAGATAAGTGCTGCCTAGCATATTTATCCAACCATTTTAGTTTAACCTCTTTCTTATCATATAGAACTTGATATAATTCTTAAAATAAGAGTAGTACTTTTGCAAAAAAAAAAAATCCCCAAAATTATACAATTGATTTTTGATTCTACATGCTATTTTTGTGACATAACAATAACTTACAGGGTTCTATTTTTTCTACACTCTTAACCAATATTACTATTTGAATTAAGGAAATGTCTATGCCATAGTGATAATTGTCTAAATTTCTAAAGATAAATTTAAATGATGCAGCGACTTGGTAAGGTATTGTTTCATACACAAAATAATCAGCATTTTTTTAAAGAAAATTGGAAATCACCAGCTACTTGCTATGATCACTCACCTTTCTTCCTAAGCGCTTTCTCTGTTTGCTGAACACAATTGGTTAAAAAAAAAAAAACAGAACTCAGTGAACAGATTAGATCTTACCTACACATGTAGTCTTTAGTGTAGTTTTTAATTATCCAAAACTGTTAAAAATCTAAAAGAAAAAAACAACTGAAGTGAAGAAATGTTAATTGTTAAATAACAATAAAGTGATTTGCCATTGGGGCAGTCTCCTTCACTGCACAACAAAACTCTTAAAGTATGTCTAATACATTTTAAAAATTCATTAGCTTTTTGAAGATACTGGATACTTAGCAAATAATTCTACTTGTCTAAAGAATAACTATAATCTGAAAGAGATATAATCACTTTAAAAGGTCTTTAATTATTGTAGAAATGTGTTCATAAACTGCTGGAAGCCACATAAGAAAGCCATTCTATGTCTTAAGCTGTGCTTATGCTGTCATCAAACAAATGATTATAATATATAATTTTCATTAGGTTCCAGAGGCAACAAAAGATGTGTTGAACATGACATTAAAAACTGATTTTTATCTAAAATATTTTGCAAAATGAATATTTAGCTACCTAGTTGGGGAAAGTAAAATATAATAGGCTGTTAAAACTAAATCATTTTATAAATCTCTTGTGAGTTATTCACATGTTTGAAATTTATTTCCTATGTTATCTAGGACATTATAAATGAGAACTTACTTAGTTGCATTGCAATTATTTGGTTAGGTGTCAATCTTCTCTAATAAAGTATGAGCTATGTTGGAGCAAGACATATGTCCTAATTATTTTTTATATGCAAATAAATTCCTATAAAGAAAGGAAAACCCTGGGGAAAAAAACTAATATTTGCTGAATATAATCTGTTTCTCCAGTGTACTGAACCCATAAGATAGTAACTCACTTTATTTTTACAGTACTGCTATGTTACAATGTTGTTATCACCATAATATAGAGACATTATGTAATCTGTCCAGTATTAATGAAAGTGTATACATTGCACAGAACTTTTTAAATTTATATATTTTTACAATTCTGGGTGCCACATTTAAAGTACAAAGCTTACAAATTAAGACAGCATCCAGGGAACAATAAAGAGGATGGTTAGTGGTTTGAGAGTGAGAATACATGGCATATGTTTATCCAGAAAGTAGGAAGATTGGTGCAATTTGCCACGTTAGAAAGTTAAATCACTTGAAGGTCTAGCATGTAGAGGTTGTCTATTTGCCTTCTGATGTCTGTGCAGATTGGACTATATAATCAGTAAGGATTAAAAATCAGAGATATTTCAAAACGTAAAAGTTTTATTCCAACTAGTAGTGTCATCCATCCGTGTGATACCCTGCTACAGGAAGTATTCTAGTTCCCTTCAGCAGAATTATTCAAGCAAAGCCTAAATGGGCATCTGTCAGACACAGAATAAAAGACACATTTCATCAACTGAGAATTGAACTGAATGTCCTATATGGCCCTTTTCAGCCACAACAATTTGTGATTTTATGATAATCTTCCAAATCCAAAATAATTACTATGACCACAACATATTTCAAACTCTTTCAGAAGTTGAAATTGGCACAATTATTTATAGGATTATAAATAATTATGAGTTAGAACAGGGGTCAGCAAACTTTTTCTCCAAAGGACTAATAGTACATGTATTAGGCTTTGCAGCCTGTACAGTTTCTGTCACTAGTGCTCAAAGTGGCATTGGAAAGGAACCATAGAAAATAGGTAAAGGAATGAGCATAAATAGGCATGGCTGTGCTCCAATAAAACTGCACATTTAAACACAGGCAGCCGACTGGCTTTGGCTCCATGGGCCATATTTTGCTGACTCCTGAGTGAGACAGTTGCTGCAGTATGGTGCAAATTCTTCAAAACTACCTCTTAAGAAACCTTAGTTTAATCTTATCTCTACTGTCTAACATCTTGGCTAATCTGGCATGAAATGCTTATTTATATTTATGTAAGAATATTTCGATCAGAGCATCTCTAAATTTTCTCCAGCACTAACATTTTATGATTGTGGACTAGTATTTATTTATTACAACTTGTTTATATAATTCCATCTCTTTCATCTTCTAACACTCTCTTCTATTCACAAATAATGTTTATATATTTCTTAAGCAAATAGATTAACTGCCTCAGATTCAAATAAACAAATAAATTGTAATCCTCGGTAAGAAATAACTCAGAGTTTTGAGACACAAGATGTGTATGATGGGCACAGCCAGCGAAACTGAACATCTGGCGCAGCAATAAAATGTATGCCAGAAACAACAGGCCATGAGAACAGTGACACATCTGGTTAAACCTACTAAGAGCTTAAAGCCAGAGAAATTTAGTCATCTGAAATAGAGCATGAAGATGCACAGCTTTTATCGGTCTCATTTTGTCAATGCTGAGTAAGTTAGACTTCTCTTGCACACTTGCAGTTTCCTATTTGGACCTACAAAATAAGATGGCTGCCCTCCAGGCATTCACTGGCACTATTACTTTTGATGGATTTTTGTTGCCTTGGAGATTTTTGAAAGATATAAGTGTTGAAAGGATTGATTTATACTTGACATAAAGCTAAGGTTTCTAATGTTATTCTGACAGCATTTATGAGCACTATTTTCTTTAATAATGTCTTCATTCATTTGGAAAGAGATCACTATAGTTGCCTGAAATGGTTTCCAGCTCTTGAAACTTGTATTATAATTTTACATTTTTGTTGAGATAGCAAGTAGACTAGCTCTCTCCCCAACTTTTAAATATGTGTCTGACTGAGTTCCACTTATTTTTTTTTATTCTCAGCTTAAATATAGCATTTTCACAATGTCCTTTCTTGGGTTCCATGGTGTAGTCCACCTAATTGTATTTGTGTACAGGCATTTAAGTGTATTTACGTATGTGTTGCATGTTTTGTTTAATAAACATGTCTCTTTCTCTGTGCCTGTATGTATGTGTGTATCTTCCACTACACTGTAAGAAAGGCTACACATTTTTTGTCATTGCATGCACAGATTTAGCATACAACTCTTGGTACTTAGCAGGCTCTTGATCAGTAATTACTTAACATGCAAAGATATGATGAAATAAATTATAATTGAATAAAGACAAAAAATATGAGATGCAATAACTTCATTTTCATATTGTTTAATGATCACTATGGAAATTACTTCTGAAATTATTTCAGTGTTCTGATCAAATCAAGGGTAAACTTGTGTAATAAACAAAACAGATTTTTTAACGCATCATTTTGTGTTCATAAAATTAAGATGTAATTTTGGGAATAAGTATCATTGTATAGTTTAAAATAATTAGAATTTGGAAGTAATAATACTGGTTTTGGGCTCCTGGCTTTCTCATTGTAAATGCTGATGGGAATTCCTTATGAAATCATATTCTTGTACATGCCTGCTCTTTGCACATTCCAGTTATGTGTGCATGTGCCGGTGAATGCAGGTGTTTGTGCATGTGTGTGTGTGTATTTGCATGTGATGAAAGAATTTACTTTGGTGCTTTTTTTTTTTTTGATGGAGTCTCACTTTGTCGCTGAGTCTGGAGTGCAGTCACGCCATCTCGGCTCACTGCAAGCTCACCCTCCCAGGTTCACACCATTCTCCTACCTCATCCTCCCAAATAGCTGGGACTACAGGCGCCAGCCACCACGCCCGGCTAATTTTTTGTATTTTTAGTAGAGACGGGGTTTCACTGTGTTAGCCAGGATGGTCTCGATCTCCTGACCTCGTGATCCACCCGCCTTGGCCTCCCAAAGTGCTGCGATTACAAGTGTGAGCCACGGAGCCCGGCCTGGAGCTTTTGATCCACTTAATTTTCCATCTCTAATTTTATAGTCCAACCCATCATCAGTGTCTGCCTCTTAAATCCTTATAGGCTCACCCTTTGGAAAACAAGAGAAATAACAAGACATAAGAAGAGTCAAGATTTGATCTGACACTGAGTTTCTTTTCCTTGATTTTAGAAACCCCATGTAAATTGTATAATTATTGTGACAATATGACTTTGGGAGAGATAAGAGTTAATTGAGGAAAAAATGGCTGCTATATTGTGAGATAAATGAATGAAAATTTTGGACATAATTCTTCTCAAAGGTTAAGCAAAATCTTACCTACAATAACACTGTTTAGATATAGCACACCTAAACCCAAGAGGAATTTTTAAAAAAGCTATTTGAAGTCTAGGGAGATAATGACTAAGTCTGATTAAGTCCAATGAACATTTCAAATACCAGGTGATCACTGGGTGATGATGGAGGAAAGGTTAACCTAGAACATCTGCCCAGTATGGAGCAGAAAAGGGTAGGAGTGATATATAATGATTATATACTTTCTGTATTTAAAAGCATTTTACTTCTCTAATATCATATTCTGCAGTAATTTCCAAGTGCATTATTTTAAAATTACTCTTTTTAGATTTATATTTTTTTTAAAGTAGCAAATGTAACAAAAAGTGTTCAGTTGATAACTGTAATGGTATTTTAAATATTAAGAATAATGTTAGCAGTAGGATTTTTTCTGTATGTTTTGGAATAATTTTAAAAGCTGATGATATTTGTGCTTTAAAAAAGTTCAGTTAGAATAATAAAGAAAGAGAATAGCACACTATTGTAAAGTACTGATTTTAATTACCCTGTGGTATTCAGGGGGCAACCATGGAACATTTTTTTAAAGAGTCTGTACACTGTAGATCCATCTTTCTTTTCCCCTCCTCATGAATGCAATATCAATTTTCTGCATTAAAAAATCAATAGTCAATGTTTTCCAAATAGTGAAGACGTTCAAACACAATTAATGATAACCTAAAAGTATAATCTGAGAAACAAACAGCAAGAAAGGTCATCTAAGCATATAAAAAAGTTCAGTCATCCCTACTGCTTATAATAGTTCTTGGGAGAAAAGCAAAACGTCCAGTAAAATGCAATTATTTTAACAAAGATATTTAATGTAATATTTTAATAATCTAAAATGTATATTATCATTTAGAGAGAGTTATGGGGAAGATACAACAAGCCACATTTCCACTATTTCTGAAATCTACTAAAAATTACATTAAATACTAGGAAAAAAGCCAAAAAGGGATCATCCAACACATCAAAGTAACTGTTGAAAGTTATAGATAAAGCATTTACACAAATTTCTGTAATATCCTGATTATTTTGTAAATTTTATTCAAATTTAGAAATATCTTAACATCTACCAAATTGCCAGTCATAGGTCAATGACATAACTAATATGAGAGTTTTTTGAGCTATATAAATACTATACACATATACACGCAGCAATGAAATTTATATTGCTACTTTGAGATACAATATGTCCTATATAGAGATACCAGAGTAATATTCCAGATGTGTCATTGTTTTTTAAAACCTGATGTTCATTGCTGTCAAGTTTTTTACTGTGGAGTTTTAAAACTTTTGTTTTTCTCATCCTAAATCACTTCAAGTTGCTGCTTTTATTACTGTTTATATAAGAACATATAAGATAATTGCTATGGCCTATCTCAAATTTTACTCATTCTATGAACATTTATTGAGTTCTTAAACTCAATAAACTAGGTATTGTGCTAGGTTTTGGAGTTAAACTTATAAACAAGACATGTCTTTGACCTTGAGGAGTCTACAGTCTGAGAGGGTGAAAAAGATATATATCTATATATCTATATTTATATATAAATATATAGTCATGAATCTGTATACATAAATGTGCTGTGTGTGTATACACACATATATAACAGAAATACAATAATCAGGCAATATAAATGCATATATAATTTAAGCAAATAGTCTGTACATAAACTTTAATTTCTACCAGAAATTTAAATAAGCTATGCTACTTAATAACTGGCACTATATAGAAAAGGTTATGAATAAATATAAAGTACATTTTCTAACATGATTGTATAACTTTGAAAAGTAAAATCATTGTCAAAACTGAGTGCTTTCCAAAAGGTTAAATAAATTGTACTGCCACTGAATTAAAGCTGTTGAAGGCTCTTAAAGGTCACCTTTCTGTATGCTTTTACTTGTTTACTAGTCATATTATTTATCAGAGAACTGTAAGATATGCTTCACAGATTGGTAAAAACATTAAGGTATATATGGACAAGATAGTATATGTGATTTAATATTAAGATTAATATTCTCGAATTCTAATTTTCACATCAGTAAATGATCAAATAAGGACTGGCATCAACAAAAGTTACATTTATAAAATATATATTTTAAGCTAGGGTTGAATGAAGTTATCTCACCTTACATATACATGAACACACAACCACACACTTAGTCATCTTCTAAAAGAAATGCTCAAAGGCCAAATGGCAAGTTTCTAAAGTTTACCTTTGTGACCTATTGCCTCCCTTTTTCTTTTTTTTTTTTTTTTTTTTTTTTTTTGAAAAGGAATTTCACTCTTGTTGCCCAGGCTGGAGTACAATGATATCATCTCGGCTCAATGCAACTTCCGCCTCCTGGGTTCAAGGGATTCTCCTGCCTCAGCCTCACGAGTGGCTGGGATTACAGGCACCCGCCACCATGGCCAGCTAATTTTTTGTATTTTTAGTGGAGACAGGGTTTCACTATGTTTGTCAGGCTGGTTTCGAACTCCCGACCTCAGGTGATCCACTCACTTCAGCCTCCCAAAGTGCTGGGATTACAGGAGTGGGCCACTGCGCCTGGCCCTATTGCCTCCCTTTTAATCCCACTTATCTCCTGGTAAACTTTTCCACCTTCTAGTTCTAAATTAGTGGTGCATTTTATTAATTGATGTATGCTTTATATTTTATTTTTTAAAGGATTTATAGTAAAGTGACTACTTTTAAAAATTGTGAAGACTTAGAGCAAAGGGTATAAAATGTAATTAGGTTCCATTATGAATTAGTAAGAAATTTGGGGGATTAGGGAGAATTGCATAGCCCTTCATTAATCACACTATGTGTGAAATTTCCTTTCATTTCTCATTATTTAGGAGAATTAGTTATTTTTTTATTACAGCAATAGAATATGTTTCTGGAACATATTGGATGTATAATAAAAATGTGTTTAATGAGTAAATTAGTAAAATTATTAGCTATTATATCTTCAAATGTCACTGGGATGACTCCAAAATTCAAACAAAGGCCAAATCGTTCTTAATTCATTAAGAAAAGCAATAATTTAGACACTTGGCTAAACTTGAAGATTAACATAGAAAAAAAGATCCATGACCTCATGTTGCTCTTAAAATAAATCTATATCAGAATAGATACGTTGGCAGAATGAGTGATTATAATGTCCCAAAATACTTTATCCTGAAAATGCTTTATGAGGAGCATTTAGTTATTTATTTTCAGTAGGGTCATGTAATTTATTTATCAACATTTATTTTAGAATCAGGAGGTACATATGTAGATTTGTTACCTGGGTATATTGTGTGATGCTGAGGTTTGGGGTATGAATAATTTTGTTACTGAGGAACTGAGCATAGTACCCTTTAGTTAGTTGTTCAACACTTCCCCCTCATCCTCCCTCCCCAACTCCGGTAGTCCCCAGTTTCTATCACTGCCATCTTTATGTCCGTGAGTACCCAAAGTTTAGTTCCCACTTATAAGTGAAAACATGCAGTATTTCTGTTCCCGCTTTAATTCTCCCAAGATAATGGTCTTCAGCTGCATCCATGTTGCTGCAAAGGACATGATTTTGTTCTTTTTTAGGGCTGCATATACAGTATTCCCTGGTGCATATGTGCCGCATTTTCTTTATCCAATCCATCATTGATGGGCACCTAGCTTGATTCCATGTCTTTGCTATTGTGAATAGAGTTGTAATGAACACAAGAGTGCATGTGTCTTCTTGATAGAATATTTTGTTTTTTTGGGGGGTATATACCAGGTAATGAGATTGTTGGGTTGAATGGTAATTCTGTTTTAAGTTTTTTACGAAGTCTTCAAAGTGCTGCTTTCCATACTGGCTGACATAGTTTACATTCGTACCAGCAGTGTATAGCATTTCCTTTCTCCGCAGCCTAGTTAGCATCCATTGTTTTTAAAATTTATAATAACAGCCATTCTGACTGGTGTGAGATGGTATCTCATTGTGGTTTTGATTTGCATTTCTCTGATGATTAGTGATGTTGAGTATTTATGTGACAACATTGTATCTTCCTGTCTCTTTGACTTAGGAGAATATGGAGAAACTCACTTATACAAGTGGAGATTCTTCATGACTTTTCGAAACTGTTCCTTGTGTGTGCTCTCAATTCTTCAGTTTCTCCCCTTTCATAAATATATATAACATAATATATGCCATATATATCATGTATATATAATATGTATTATATTATATGTAATATACACACACAAACACTCATGCAAAACACTCAACAGTGACTTACTTGATGGCAGAAAAGTGAGAAGAATGAATGCTATGTAAAGGTGGCAAAACATCTCGCTTTTATTCTTTTAGAATGACCTATGATAAAAACAAATATTCTTTAAAATTAACATAGATTACTTAGGGTTCACAACTTGGATTTCTGAAAAATACCTTCATTATTTGACTCATATTCAGTCTCTAAGTGCTAGAGTTTCTTAAAATAAAACTGTTTGAAATGGTTGGTGTACTTCACTTGAATAAAACTCCTGAGTCAACTTTATTGATACTACTGATTTTTAAAATAATTTCCATTAATTGTGATCATTTTATTTCCTCATTCATGACTGCATTTATTTTCTGACATATGATGCTCACAGGCTTGCTAATCTCAATACCTGTTTTTTTCTTCAAATATATCGCAAACTCATGCTATATGGAATAAACGTTTTTAAAGGGAAAAACCATTGAAGTAGAAGAAAATGTAAAATTATTCTATTTATGGCTAAATACGAGTAAATATATTAAGCTTTTGGATCAATATAAGCCTACATTTTATTCATAATTATATAAAAATCTCACTAATATTCAGTTACAACATGAACATGAAGTAAGGGTAAGCAATGGGATATGGAATTCAAAATGAGACCTATTTTGTTTTTTAATGCAGCCAGAGTCTTCACAATGAACCCTGACAAAATGAGATACTTAAATGCTTAGATGTCATGGTGTTCATGGGTATTATCAAGAAAACTTACAGTAATGGACTATTTAATTACATAAGAAATTCTACCTTTGTATACACAATTCTCAATTGAATTCAACAAACAAGTTGCCTGTTATTCTCATTAAATATTTTAATTTCTTTTAGTGCCTTAGTTTGATTGGGTTTCCTCTTAAGCAGCCTCTGAGACAAGATTTTGCTTAAAGGAAATTTATGAGGCTGCTTTCTAGAAGGAACCAGTAAGGTAATGGGAAAGTGGAAAGGACAAAGAAAACAGTCAAGCAAGTGTGGGAGATCAAACACCACAAAGAGAATGACTTTGTCTCAATTCCACAGGGAATCTCTGAAGGCAATTTGGGTAATATCTGAAATTATTTCAATCAGTTGCAAAGGAAGCAGAGTGTTAACAGCTCCCCACCTCTCAGTCATTGGTTACATTCTACCCATTGAAGAAATATATTCCTGGATACTCCACTTATTCACAAGCACAGACAAAGCATCCTTTAACCGATGGTTGGTAATGAAAACATGCTGAGAGCTAGCACCTAAGCACAAATAGAAAAGAGCTCTGAGGGCATTTGCCTGGAGCACTGACGTGGTTTGAATATAGTTTAAGTTGCGTGAAATATAATTTTAGCATTCAAGGAGCTTAAAGGCTGCTGGGGAAAGTACATAAAACCACAGGTGCTTAGAACAAATATTTCTCCACAACGTTAAATGAAACCTGCCTTGAGATCCAGTCACACCTAGTTAGGAGGAAATTAAATTTCTGCAAGCAGTGTTAAACGCTTCCCACCACAGTGCCTTGTGTCGGTTATTGAGGAACTTACATATTTCTCAATTTATAAGAAATGTTTCCTGATGTTTAGTGTACTGATTTTAATGCTATTAGTGCTATGGTTATTGTCATGGCATGTCAAGCTACATAGTTTACTGTATCCAGTGCAAATAAAAGTGTAGAACTCTTTGTTCAAAATGCAGGAAACTATATTGTAAAAGTACTAAAAATGAAACTTTTTCTTCCCACTATCTTTTTCTTAACTTCTTATGGTGTTTTTTTTTTAAATTTGCTATTTAATGTTCTAAGAAAAGAAAAATTAAAATTTTAAATTTTCATCCTGAATTTTACCGTTTATCTTTATATGTATAGTGAAATGCCAGTTTTAAATGCAAATATGAGAGCATTTAACTCATATGTTGAATCACTGAAATTATACAATTTATATTTCAGAGCCAGTGCATCCATATGTATTTTGTTCTGACCAGAAGAATAAAAACACTGCACAAAACTAACTAAACTGTTTATATTTCACTTCTTGAGACATGTAAATTCTACCTACCATTTCTATGCTCTGTTACTGAAGAATAAAGAATGAGTGAAACTTAAAAAAAAAAAAAAACTAGATCTTTCTTCTTTCCTTCTTCATTTTCAGCTTAAGAGGTTCACTAATACCAAACATTGCATAGTTTTAAAAGCATGTGAGCAGGTTTCCTGGTTGTTTCATAGAACACTACTGACTTCTTTCTATGTTTAAAGAAATTTCTAATTTGAAAAAAAAAATGTGATCTCTAAAAGCTGTCAATACCACATTTGCTGTTGTAAACACAGCAGTTTATCTTAAACTCATTTTGAGCCTTACTTGAACTCCCACATTCATGAGTCCATAGGAAATCTGTGTTCATGGGGCATCACAAATGCTGTATGTGAATGGGGTTGCAAGAAACATGCTCCATAGACTTCATTCACAAAACACAAGGTCAAATATAAAATTATTAAGAATTCAGGATAACATGACAGCTTTCAATCAAGCGTGGTGCCCTTCTGAGGGCTGATCCTCTGAAAGTGTATAGGTAGCTTTGAGGTTTAATTCTAGACTTACATATAAGAGTACTGGCCTTATTTGACAGACCAAACGTGTGTCGGTTTCCTTGTGTGCACATAATAGCTGTTCTCCATGAAGATCCTGCCAAGTCTTTGGTTCTTTCACGAATGTGAAAGTTTATGGACATTTTTATGCAAGATCTGCAAAATCCTATCTACCTTGCAGTCTTAAAAGAAATTCCCCAGACTTCCTCCTCTCAGGATTAATTCTCCTTTTCACACCTAAGCATTGCCATAAATCTGTCACCATTTTTAGTCCACCATACTTCTTAAATCACCTCAGGTTTACCCAATCAAAAATAAAAACTAATTGGAGAACCGGCCTCTGGTTTCTAGGAAATTTTGTCTCTGGCCCTGAAAAGCAGCTGTCCCTAAGGAAAGAGAAACAAAGTACTAGCTAAATTGCTGAGATCAGGACGATGAGACAAACCTATATGAGATAAAGTAGCATAAAATTTATTTTCCCAGTGAATAGTTCAACTGCATAACATCACCAGATAAATAAGGCGTTTGGAGAATGTACCTAACAAGGAAAGATGAAAGAGTGATCCAATGAGTATAATTCAGGAGCATAAAATAGCTATACGATCCAAAAAATGAAAACAATGAAAAGATTTCTCTGTTTAACAGTAATAAATATTCATGAAACATTCTTTAAACACTTCAGAGAAAAGCAATATAGACACAATGCAAAAAATAATATACTGGCTTTAATTTTTATACTGAAGGACAAAGAGTTTAGCTAATCTTACAATGACGATGATGTCATCATTATAAACATATATCATTATATACATGACGATCATTATAAACATGACAAAACATCTCTTTTTAATGTTAGTAACATACAAATAAATGCAATTTATGAATTATTAGTTCCTTTAGTAACCGAATGCAGTTATGACTGCACATTCATTTAAGACATGTTATACAAAACTTTATGGAAATAAAAGTTTTCATTTTAGATGGGCAGACATAAGAAATGTATTAAAATACTTTGATAACAAATAGCCATTATTCTTTTAAATTAAATGTGGGACAGAGAACTATAACCAAAATTTCCTTTCTATTTTTGATAGCTAAATATGGTTACAGTTAAGGTTCTTTGTGATCATCTGTTCAACTTGAGTAGCTATATAATCCAGGTTCTTTTATTAGAAACTATTTTTGAAATAAGGAATTACTGTTTTCACAGAATAACACACTTACACTAGTTTAGGTGTTCATAAGAATTTTTTTCTAGTAAGTTTCCTGAAATGAAATTTGATTCCCTTTTTAAAAAAGTCATTTGTAATCTCACGTTTTTTAATAAACATTGAGTTTATGTTGTTCTTTTTCTACATAAGAGTCCACACATTCTCAAGATAATATTTACTTATGAGAGGAATTTGTCGGGAGAGGCCAAGGGTAAGAATATCTTTGCAAAATTTGTCCAAACAAGTTGAGAAATGAAAGTAAAAAAGCAATTGACCATGGTGTTCAAGAATAAAAATAAAAGCCAGAAAAAGTAAAACACAGTTTTCAATATCTTTTCAAATTATAAAAATACGTAATATTTTATGCTAATCTATAAAATACCTACATGAAAATAATGTCAAAACATAAAGCCGAAATTATCTTATGCAACTTATCAACATATAGAACTTGAAATCTCTATCAGTTTAACATTTATGATTGGAAGGAAATAAAGTAATACTGAACATTCAGAGTCTGTAAGGTATTGTGTCCGGAATTGGTGGGTTCTTGATCTCGCTGACTTCAAGAATGAAGCCGCAAACTCTCGCAGTGAGTGTTACAGTTCTTAAAAGATGGTGTGTCTGGAGTTTGTTCCTTCCGATGTTCGGGCGAGTCCCGAGTTTCTTCCTCCTAGTGGGTTCGTGGTCTCCCTGACTTCAGGAGTGAAGCTGCAGACCTTCGCGGTGAGTGTTACAGTTCATAAAGGTGGCCGTCCGGAGTTGGTCATTCCTCCTGGTGGGTTTGTGGTCTTGCTGACTTCAGGAGTGAAGCTGCAGACCTTCGCGGTGAGTGTTACAGCTCATAAAGGGGCGTGGACCCAAAGAGTGAGCAGCAGCAAGATTTATTGCGAAGAGCTAAAGAAAAAAACCCCCACAACACGGAATGGGACCCCAGCGCGTTGCCGCTGCTGGCGCGGGTGGCCTTTTATTCCCTTATCTGGCCCCACCCACATCCTGCTGATTGGTCCATTTTACAGAGAGCTGATTGGTCCATTTTACAAAGAGCTGATTTGTCCGTTTTACAGAGAGCTGATTGGTCCATTTTACAGAGAGTCGGCTTCACCTCTCAGTATCATGAAAATTATTTTATATTTCATAATATTTTATTAAATCTTCATGGAAACAATATGACAGCCTCTGATATCCTTGTTTTATTAATAATGAAGTTCAGTGTCACAGAGTCTAAGAGCTTTCTCAAGGGCACATGGCAAAGCAGTAGTGGAGCTGAAATTCAAATAGCAGTCTGTATAAGAAACATTCTGTGGAGGCCAAATAAACACTAGCAGCTTTAGCTTTACCATGTTCATATTAATAGGCCATAGTAATTAGGTTTAACTATACAAGTTTCTCTTTCTGATTTCAGAGCCTCCTTTATGGAATTAAAAATAAAATTTACTTTGACCAATTGAAATTTGAAACCAACCATTCAATTATCTAACATTATAACTAGACCTTCTTTAAGCGATGATTTTGACTATATAAGGTGAACATTATATATTTCAAATCAAGTATTGGTTATAGTTGGAATGTACCATGGTATAGTTTTCCTTACACAGGTCACCACAGTGTAATTATTAATGCTACCTTTTTTTTTTCTCTCCAAAATGTACTGGTTTGAATGACAAATTATAAAATACAATAGTTACGTGCAAAGATTAAATTATGTAAAACAAAGAAACCCAAAAAATAAAAAAAGTTGAAAATGCTTACACCAGAGAGTAAAATGTAAAACGTCCAAATGTAATACTGAATATCATGCGCATCAAGCCAATAACATGTCAGAACAATAACATTAATACAACTGCAACTATAATAAAGCTTAATTCTGCTTATTTGACCCAACAACATGAAAGAAACGAAAAAAATGTGACTTTCAGAATAGTTCATTTCCTACTCTTGTAGTGATGCTCCTAAGCTATGAGACAAAATGCAAACCTTAAAAATGCGTCGCTAAACAAAGCAAGAAACTTAGCCTAGCATGTTAACTAGTAGAAGTTAAAATAAGTATCTAATGAATATATGGGGAAAAACACATGTAAAAAACTAATAGCTTACTGGTATAAGAAAACTGTCTTTTTTGCCTTTTTTATTCAATAAAGTTGCTGTCAGTTTGTATTCATTAAAAATTTTCTTGGTAAAGGTTTTCTAAAAGCCACTGATTTTCAAAAATGCCTCTCTAGCATCCTTCACCTGGGTACTTAACTGTCGAGTGTTCAACATAGCAATTATTGCTCCAGTCAAATTTTCCTGCCCTTATGTTTTCTAATATTTCCTCTGTTTCCACTCATATATTAATAGTTTTTATCATACTCACATAAAATTGCCTTTTTTTAATTTGCCATTTTTTACTAAACTATAAGTTCCTTAATGGAAGAAATGGTGCTTAGCATAGAAGAGTCATGGAGCTAATTCATGTTGAATGGACACATGCAAAAACATACACACCCCTTAACTTAATTGATGACAAAGAATGGACATTTATCTTCTAGACCTCATATTTACCACACAGTATTATTCACTGAGAGAATATGTTATAGCCTAAAACATGTCTGAGTACATGTAAAATTTACCAATCCGGACATAATTTGTTAGCGTTTCTATCCTTTTAATTGTGAGAGAGGCAGAAAAATAAAAACTTTATTTAAAGGATTGATTTACTTATTTATACATCCAGGTCAATATATATTTGCCATACATGTTTTAATTGCTAAATTTGTATTCTCTCTAACCAATTAAATGATGAAATACAAATCCTCTAAATGAAGGTAGATATGAGTCAATCTACCACTACTTTAAAAAAAAAAAAAAGTATAAGCAGATTTCCTAGAAAATCTAACTCTTTTTGGAAAACTCTAAATTAATAGGTAAAATAGTACTGATTTTTAAAACTACAATAATGATTTAAGCATATTTTGAATTTCCATGTGACAAGGCTAGCATATCTTAGCCTAAACTTGAATTAATCTAGTAATTCCTAGAGTCAACCATTACATGTTTGTGTATATGCCACTAGATTTGGGTTGTATGTTCCTTAGGGTTACTCATGTTCTTAGATAGTATGGGACTAGAGAGTATCAGCAGATGAATTTTGAGGATATTCAGAATATTTGCAACTCTAGGACATATAAGGAAAATAATATGCACAGTTTCTGAAAACCAGTTGATTATCACAAAAGTGGGTCATAATAGTCTCTACTGAAGTACAGTTTATAAGGTTTATCGCATTAATGTTGGATAATGCAAATGTAGTACTTCTACAAAATACTATTTTTTGAATGTAGAGCCTTTGCTAAATATTTTTAATTTGATTAACCTGTTGTTTTATAATTTAAATTCTAATGAATATTCAAATATTTATAAAAGCTTTGTGAAAATGTTTCCCCACAGGAAAAATATAGATATCAAATTGTTTAGTAACATGCACAAAAATGTTTGGGTAGGATAATATGTTTTATTTACCTTGTTTATAACTACTCTGTAATTTTCTATATCTTCTACTGTGTAACTGCATAAACATCAGTAATAATCTGTGTTTGGTTATCTGCTTTATATGTGGATCCTTCATATTCCTTTAATTTCTGGCAATATTCCACAATCTACACCTCATCTATGGATAAATCTCAAGACATTGAAATTAAACCTTACCCCTCAGCTTTTTTGCATACTAATATGTAACTTTGAGCAAAATGGAAATGCTCTTCTTTCTGTACAGGCAACGTAGCCCTCTTTTAAATGTAAGTTCTAACAGTTACTTTTATTTTTTTCTTTCATTCTGAACAGCAGGATTGGCTATAGCTTCTGAGTCTTTGAATTTTGTCTCAATTATATCTCTAACATTGCTCCAAGTCTGTATCATCAATTACGGTAAAACGTCTTTGAAAATAAGCTCACTGATTGAGCCAAATTCAAAGAGACATTCAGTAACACATTCACATTTGTTTAATAACCTCATCCTCATCTCTAATCCATGAGTTTAATTAAACTCTGTGCTTTTATTTCCAGGCATACATTTTCAATGTTATCTTTGTGAATTCAAACCAAGGCTCTGTCCCAGTCAAATGAAACCTAGAAGAATTATAAGCAAAACAATGAGTCAGTGCAAACCATGGAATACAGATTTCAGAGTCTTGTATTAGATATTATTCCCCAAGAATGAATTGTACAAAGCTTTTTCTCATTTATGCCATTTAATTGAAAGTATTATGGGAAAAAAATGGCAAGAGTTGGGTCTCTGACAAGAATATTGAAATACAAATTTATTAACTGAAGGCCTGTATGTTAAACTTCAGTTAGCAGAAAGCTAAGAAAAATTAAATAGAGAAAAATATTTGATATAAAATTGAACATTGGAACATGTGTAAATTTAGCCCTCTCTGAGTATATCTACATTTTCCCCCACCCATCACATTTGCCATTGTTTCACTGTTAAGTGTATAAAGGCACAATGAAAAGAAACAAAATGTCATAGGCTACTTAACACATTGCTTTCATTTACTACAGAGAATTATAAAGCTGACTAAACAAACACAAAAAACCCAAAAGTTGCCTATACTTTGGTGATTTCATCCTCACGATTCAAGATGGAAAGTTCTCAGGAAGCCTCAGACTTCCCCAGTCAGGAGATTTCTCAATAAACTCCAGTCCCCTTCAGCTTCCAGTAAGATAATTCGTTACTGCTAATCAATTTGCAAACTAATCAATTTGTTCTCATGAGCCTTTTTTTCTTTTTTACTTTTTTGCAATAATGGTAAGAAAACTTACATATACTTTTAAGCGTGGCTTAAATCTATATACACGTCAGACGTCCTGTTTAGTTGTACAGTATTTCTTTGGTTCTTCTCATTTCCTAAACTTCTTTTCTGGTTTTGGTTTATGAATTTTCTTTTCCCTTTTACTAGAATAGCGTTTCCAGTTTTCAGGCAGAACTCGGCCTGAGCACTTCAGAACTGTAGATGTACTAGTGATTTGACACTTATTCTGAAATTTTTTACTTTGTATTTCAAAATCTCACTTCTTTACCTCTTGTCTAACTATCAGCACCAAAAAGCTATTTCTTTCCGAAGCATTTCTTCCGCAATGTTTTCTTTCATTTTTAGTATCTATTACTTTGGAATTAAAGTTGCAATTCTACTTATTTTATCCCCCTACAGTATAGTAATGAACTAACTCTAATCAAATAAATATATAAGTAAATAAGAATAAACCTACTAAGTTTACAAAGAAACCAGTTGCCATAAAGCTCATGCATCAATACTGCATATATTTTAATCAGATTACTTAGATATCTGAAATTTCATAAATATTAATCAGGGTTTAGCACAGGAAATGGAACAAAAGTGGTTTTAAACAGAAAGTGATTTTATTGTTAGAAAAAACTATAGCGGGAGCTAGAGAAACTCACTCTGAGCTAGGCATTCCTGAGTTACTCTCAGCATGTGGCAGAACTCATTCAGTTCCGTAACATGAGATACCAGTGAAATACAGATATCAAACAATATCTTAGTTGAGATATAACACTCAGGAAGCCGAAGTCAGAAAAATGCTGCCATTGTTCCTGCCTACAATGGAGCTGTCATCACGACTGGAACTGACTCTCTCAATAATGGAGAAAGTCAGAAAATAGATACTGGATGTTGACTTCAGGAAAAAAAATTACAAAAACAAAGATCAAAGCAATGTCTCCACAGCTTGGTCTGGTGCATGCAATTGTCTGAACTTGACCCTTATCCACAGCACTATCTTCAAGAGAGTCATAGAAATGTGCAGAGTCAGGTCATTCTATTATAGAAAGGCTCATGAGAACATGTGACATAAGGCCAACTGCTTAATTATCTCATCCTATTTAATATTTAAAAGGAAAATTACTTACATTATTTGGTAGAAGATAAAGAATAATGACTCATTTAAGTAATGTAACAAAAGATTCCTTAAAAACATGAAAGTTCTAAATTCAAAGGTAATGAGAAATACAAAAAAGGGAAACATAGACCTACTCATCACATTAATTTTAACATTATCATTCCATGACAGCTTTATAAAATAGTATTTGCAAAATCAAGGCAGTCAAGGAAACTGCAATAGATTCCTATGTTTGGGGTCAAAGGAGGACTTCATTACTCAGGGAAAAGACATTGCAAGACAGATATTTAAAAGACGGTGGTTTTGTTAATGTTAAGTGTTAGGAGCAGTTCTCTAGATCCTTGAAGGAATCGGAAGAAAAAAATTAAACCTCTTTTTAAAAAAGGGCTTGCTTTTGAAAGAAAACAAAATCCTTTCAACTACCTACTAATTCAATGGCTATCAATAGACAATTAATGTTTGAGATTCACCATGACAGCCACAGTATTTTGCAGATTTTGAATGAGTGGACGGGAATTAAGTAAATGTTTGATTAATAAACGAATACCATTTTAAATGACTGATTAAATCAACAAGAAAAAACCTAAATTACATTTGCTTTACTATATAATGAGTGGGAAAAGTGTGTCATAAGTTTTTGGAAGATTTCTAAAAGAATTGTTATAGTGAAGGCTCCAGTTAGTTACTGGGAGAATTGCAATCATCTAGACAATGCATGTTTGTGAAATAGCTCATTTGCCAATGATGACAGATAAAGAAAGCAGAATTACTATATTAATTTCGGACAAATATTCTCAATTTAATAAAAAACGCTGACAGTTGTTCTGTTTTTTCTGTTTTAGTATCGAGGCTTTACATTTTGTTCACTCTGTTTCTCTTGTAATACTGGAAGTTAAAATAAATATGGTATTAATATGGAACTTATCTGTCACCTTAATAATATATGATTAAATAAATGAAATGGACACTGAACTTGACATTATTTAAAATGTCATCCCTCAGAAGTTAACTTCCAAATAAGTATTTTGTCATTTCTGTAGTCCTGAAATGTAGTATACCCTAAACATTATATGTTACTGTCAAATCCTCTGCTAGAAATAATACATAATTTCAAATTTATTTTAGTTTTTATACAATAAACCTCTATAGAAATTTGCTAAATATAATTAAATATTTTCAAACAACTATTCTCTATTTTCAAACAACTATTCTCTAGCAAGTTCTATTCTCTAGAACTTTTTTATTTTTTATTTTTATTTTTTTAATTTAATTGAGACGTAGTCTTGCTCTGTCTCCCAGACTGGAGTGCAGTGGAGCGATCTCGGCTCACTGCAAGCTCCGCCTCCTGGCTTCATGCCAATCTCCTGCCTCAGCCTCCGGAGTAGCTGGGACTACAGGCGCCCACCACCACGCCCGGCTAATTTTTTGTTTTAGTAGAGACGGGGTTTCACGGTGTTAGCCAGGATGGTCTCGATCTCCTGACATCGTGATCTGCCCGCCTCAGCCTCCCAAAGTGCTGGGATTAAAGGCATGAGCCATCGCGCCCGGCCCCTCTAGAACTTTCAAACTATTCTCTAGAACTATTCTCTAGAAGTCATTACAATTTTTACTTACATGATTTGCAATTTTCAATGTATTGTAAAGAATAGTATACTTAAATTTTATATTGATATACTTGTTTGACATTCATGAAGATTTATTAGGTTGGTGCAAATGTAGTCGCAGTTTTTGTCATTACTTTTAATGGCAAAAACTGTAATTATGTTTGCACCAGCCTAAGACCTTAAGTGAAACCTAGAACGTAGCTTTGGGCTTTACATCTAATTTATACTACAATTCATTAAATATGCCATTCAAGTTGATCACATTCTCTTATTAGTGAGTTGATTTAATACTTACAGATGTGATATATATAATTTCATCTTAATTAAATATATAACATTAATTTATGTATTATGTATTACATATTACACATATAATTTTAATTACCAAAATATATGACATCAGAGAAGGAAATTATAAGGATATTAAGAATATATTAGAGAATAAAAAACAAGAATAAGAAAGAAATAGGTCTACTCTCAGTGTGTGCTCATGGATGTAATAATAAAATACATGACATCCAATTCATAAAAATAAAACTAGATCTCAAGAGTTTATGGCTTTGCAATTCAATGTATTACATAGTGTATTTATTATTTGATATTATTGAAAATCTCAGTATGCATTATGATTTTATTGACATAGATATAACAGATACAATTATTTACTAGATATACTCGTTTAACACATTTTTACTCTTTAACTGATAAGACATTTTTATTGTGACTAGCCTGAGCAACATAGTGAGATCCTGTGTCTCCAAATTTTTTTTAAAAAGACATATTTTTATATACCTCATAGTTATTCATTGTAAAACCAATTTTCTCCTTGTCAAATGTATAATGAGAAATGCCTAATTATAGTCTATCTGTGCTAGTTGTTAAGTATAAAAACTATTTTGAAAATAACTATTGTTAGATAAATAGACTCATTGCCTAACTTATACGTGATCAATATCTATATTAATCCTTCCTAAATATTACTCATTTTCATTTTCTGAAACACCTGTTTCTTATGTTGCTCAGTATTTTTGAAGTTTTCTTCCCCCACTGGAGAGCATCAGTTCTACCAGATGCACTAATAGAAGGATTTGCTGAGCCCTTGCTGCTTAGATAAATGGTCCTCTGTCAGAGCCCATTGTTTTCTTAAGATGTTTCCCATACATTTCCAGTTAATCTCCTTTAGCTTCAATTGGCCAAAGCTTGTTTCTGTGGCTTGCAAGAAAGCTAAATTAACTGATTCCACTGATAGTTAGAAAAACGGATTGAGAACAAGTTCTATAATCTTTATCAATTTTAAATGGTCACTTACTTTTGTAGCTTATTTCACTGATGATGGGTGCAGTTTGAAGTCGTAAAAGTAAATTAAAAAGTGATCGGGTTTTGTACTGACAGTAATATTATCTTTACACCGTTTTCAAAATAAAGATAAATTATTCACATGATGACATTTTACAGCATTTCATGATAATTCTGACATATGATTTTGGTGAATATTGTGTATACAAAAATAGATTTCATAGAAATACAAATAATTAAATTTATTCTTTGGAGGGTTATTGACATTGCTCTAGTATAAGCAAAATTTGGTCATAGGTGTAGTGTTACATTGATCTTTTTTATAAATATGTGAATATTATATTTATTTGTTCTACTTATCCTTTCATTGTGCAGTATTCTACAAAATAAATTATTTCAAGTAGATGTAAAATTCCATTCAAAGAAGTACACGGAATCTTACTTTTGCCCGTTAGGTAACTTTTTAATTTATTCCTTTAATGCTGTCTTCTCTCTTGGGCTTTCCAGTTTAACTTTATAATCAGATCTGTACAATGGCATATGTAGGAGCTTTCATATCTTTGTTCTATCACATACCCGTCATGCAATTTTTGGCAAGTTGCTTAATCTCACTAAGCCTCAGTTGCTTCATGTATATATATATATATATATATATATATATATATATATATATATAAAATATCCATTTCTAATTTTTGATGATAAAATTAGAAAATTTATCTAAAATGCATAGACAATTTAACTACGATGTGACTGATGCATATTAAGAATTCAATAGTTAGTTCTCCTAGGTGGAATTTTTAGTTGATGCCAACTGATATAGTAAGTGATGTGTTTAAATGAATGAAAACAGAGATAACTAAGAATGGATGGGAATAATTCTCTGGTTATCTGGGGTGAGATAAAATGTATTTTGAGTGCTCAAAACTTTTAAAAATCTCCTGTAAAGTAATTGAAAAGATAGTAAAGATTATGTACTACATTGGAAAATCTGCTTAAGAAAATCCTTTTTTTCCTTAACTATCTATGTGACTTTTTACAGGACATTTTACTTGAATTGTCTTCAGGAGATATAAGAACTGAGTCTAATTTAGTGCCATATTTTTAAATAGCATATGTATTCATGATGGTACAATAAGTAATCACTTCACAAAACTCTTTCCGATCAGAGTTTGATTTTTTCTCCTATGATTGAATTGCTTTAAAAATAAAATTTAGGAATACAATAGCATTTTTGTATAATACAAAAGTAATTTTAGAATTAAAAATATCGAATTACTATACTATGTGCTAGTTGTTTACAAAATTATCAAGTAGGAGATATTACATTGGTTATCTTTATAATTTTATATATAACATTAATTCTTTGATACAAATCCCATTGTAAAATAACAAAAATTTTACATTTTTCAAAGTTTCTGTTGTAATCTTTGAATAAAAACAAATAAACAAGCAACAAAAAAAATTCTATGAACTCAAAAATAACTAAGAATAAGAGATGTATAATTTTGAATCAATGGTTACTTTTTGGTTACCATTACCATGCACGATATAAATAGTTCAGTTTGAAGAAAGAAGAAACACACTTGGCCCTCAATTGCTTGCTACTAAATTCCTTTGTACAGGTGTTTCTGGTTCATTTTCTGTCATTTCATTTTACAGTTGATCACATATAATTTTATATATATCTTTAGATTCTTTAAAAATTTAACTAGACTCAAAGCACAACATGTTTATAACTATGTAATTTTACATATGCTAATTTGTTTTTCTCACAATATTTCACTTGGAAAATGTAGTCTTTTCTTCTTTTACTTTATTTTTTAAATTATGCAAAGTAAGTATGTGACTAAAACCCAGAGCAAAACTCTTCTTAAGTTATTGTTACAAGATAAAGATAGACTAAGTGGGCATGTAGGAAAAGTTGAGTGCACTTTAAGAGTTAGTCATTAATTTAAACATATTAATTTTATCTGCAAGAAGAAATGCTAATGCATTGGTGTACAAAATGCTATACATAATAAAAAGCTAACAACCTTCAGGGTATCCATTCACCATAAAAGTAATTTCACACCTAGTCTATTATGTAATGTGCTATGAAAATAGCTCTTTGCTTCAAGATATTATTATATTAGCTTGCACGAAAAATTGGGTTCGCCTCTCTGAAATGAAGATTGCAAGCATAGTAATAATCAAACACCGGGACTTGATCGATGAATTCATTCTTATTTTCCATGTTTAGAAAAATTATTGTTTCCGTAGTAACCCAATTATAAGAAAGTAAATAGAGGAAAAGAGATAAAACTATTTGTTAGCCATACATCTCTATATTCAATGGGAGGGTAGAATAAAATGCATGGCAATTTCATTGCATTGACCTTCTTTCCTAGATATTTCCTTTTATCAATTTCTGGCAGGAACGTCAAATAAGAATATTCCTTTTTTTTTTTTTTTTCCAGACAGAGACTCCCTCTGTCACCCAGGCAGGAGTGCAGTGGTGCAACCTCAGCTCACTGCAAACTCCGCCTCCTGAGTTCAAGCGATCGATCTCCTGCCTCAGCATCCGGAGCAGCTGGGATTACAGGTGTGCATCACCACACCCAGCTAATTTTTGCATTTTTAGTAGAGAAGGGGTTTCACCATATTGGCCAGGCAGATCTCGAACTCCTGATCTCCGGTGATCCTCTTGCCTCGCCTCCAAAGTGCTAGGATTATGGGCGTGATCCACTGTGCCCACCCAAAAATACTCACTAGTAAAAACATCATCTTACACTGACCACATGCAGTTTGACACTGAATGATAATGAAGAAACTGGCAATCACATTTGAATAAAATATATATTTCAAAAAAGAATACAGTTAGGTAAAATAATAGAAGCCTCACATAGTATCTAAAATGTTTAATTTTGTATATTAGAATTCACCATTTGAATTTTATTTACCTAATATTATTATACAAAGCTTCCCCCAATTCTGTTAAGTCACACTAAGGAAACAAAAAAAAAAATTTTTTTGACCAAGAGAAGATCCTCATTTTCCACTTTTATTTTTATTAATTTTTCATCAATATTCTATTTGGAATAGATTGGATTAACTGGTGATTTAAAAACCGATGTGTAGTGTTTCAATCCCTGGGTTAGCAAGTTTTTTATTTTTATTTTTTTACATATCCATAGTTTACTGTCATAACAGGAAAAAAGAGGAAATAAAAGGAAGAAAAAAAAACCCTCTGGATTTTTGAAGAAAAGCTGATGACTATAAAACAATTTAAAGTCTACTAGATACTACTTCAAGATAAGACACAGTACTTAAATTTAATGTTATTTTATACATATAAATATATGTAAATAAATATATATATATATAATTTTATATATATACATATATATATATTTTTTTGAGTCAGAGTCTTGCTCTGTCACCCAGGTTGGAGCACAGTGCTGCAGTCTCTTGGCTCACTGCAACCTCCACCTCCCGGGTTCAAGTGATTCTCCTGTCTCAGCCCCGAGTAGCTGGGATTACAGGCATGTGCCACCACGCCCAGCTAATTTCTATATTTTTTAGAGGAGACTGGCTTTCACCATGTTGGCCAGGCTGGTCTACAACTCCTGGCCTCGCCTCAAGTGATACACACACTTCAGCCTCCTAAAGTGCTGGGGTTACAGGCATGAGCCACCTCACCAGGCCAAATTTAAGATTTTTATAAAGCATAGACTGCACAGTTTTATGGGAAAAGGTATTAATAAATAAATATACTGTAATTTATAGATGAATTTATGTCCACAAAACTTTTCTTGTATATGTGTCTATGATTCCTTAATAATTAGGTTTGTAAACAAAACATGTGAGAAAAAAATTAATTTTAGGTAGAATATAATTGTTTTATCTATATTCAGATACTGTGTTGATTATTTTGATTGATTACTGTTTATTTTTATTTGTTTGTTTAATTTGGTAATGGTAAATATGATACTTGATAGCAGGCTCATTATATCATGAAAAATTATAACTTTTAACTTTAATGATATTTTAGTGTAATAGTACAAAATGTTTCATAATATTGGGCTCATATTGGCTCCTGGTATAACCATGCAAATTATCGATAACAATATGCAGATACTTAAAATCAACTTTCAAAATTACTAAAGTATGCAACAAAATGAACTAAATGATAATATTTTTACTTTAAAAAATAGAACTATGCTTCTGAATCTAAAACTTTTCAATTTATATTTCTTATTTCATTTGGAAAACATTAGGAAATAACATTTATTTTGACCATATTTAACATATATATTAAATAGAAAAAAGTAAGCACAACTATTTAAAGATAATAAGTCAGTAATGCCCAACAACCTATATGAGGCCTCTAATTATTTTTCTATTAAAATAACATGGAGTAATATTGGGCTAGGTAACTCTGACAACAAACCTGTAAAGCCAAAAAGAAAATCTGCCACAATATATCTATTTACTAATATTCATTCAAAATATCAAAGACCTAATGAAAGGGTAAAACAAAAGGATTATGGGACAAAAATTTAGGGAGATGATGGAAATATGGAAGTTAACCAAGCATTTTGGAACCTCATGTTCCTTAAATCAGTCTGCTAATTCTCAGAGATACCTGTTAGGATAATAAGGAGAAAAGGGTCTTTGAGAGAGTCATAAGCCTAAGAACATAAAAACTGCAGATCAGGTTATGTCAAGGTAGGTCCTTGTAAATCTCTCTTATTTTAGGCTTAGACTTTTGGGGTCTACACTCAGAAATCTACTGTTCCTATAATTAAAATAGTTCTTAAAGGAAATTAAGTTTAACTTTTAATCCTCTTAATTTCTGAAATTGAAATAAAGATTATCCCAGAGAGAAAATATAAATCCTTCTTTTGAAAAACCAGTATATCATCCTAAGCTTCTCATTATTTCTACATTTTCTTAAATATAGTTTTAGTCATTCAATTAAATAAACCAGGCAACTATACAATGATCCAAACCAAGAGTTAAAAGAGGAAACAGAAACAAACCCATAGAAATGTCTAAAAATTTGACTTTTTAAATGCAAACTCTAAAAGAAAACCCACAAACCACAAAGTAATAAAAATGCAATAACAAGGCACATCAGAGTAAAACTGCTGAAAAGTAAAAATATTGAGAAAATCTCATAAGTAACCAGGAATAAAGATGAATTACACTCATGGGAGCAACAATTATATCATCCTCCACACAAATAACAGAAATAAAATAAATATGGGAAAGAGAAGACAGTGGAAGGATGCATTCAACGTGTAAAGAAAAAGTTATCAACCCAGCCAAAATATTTTATAACACAAGTGAAATAAAGTCAGCTTTAGAGACACAAAAATTTTAGAATTTGTTACCAATTGGCACACAGAAAAGGAAACAGGAAATTATATTTTTCAGGAAGAAAGAATAATGTCCAGATGATAGCACAGAAATGTAGAAAGACATTTGAAGATTGTAAATATGTAGACTAAGAGAATGTTAACCTTATAAAATAAGAGATGCATGAATACATGTGTTAGAATTTAAAACACTAAAATAATTGCATATAATTTAGGCTTTGCAGAAAATGGAATTTTAAAAAATCTGTTAAAGACTTTGTGTTATCTAAGAAGAAGAAAACAAAAGAGCAAAGTAATATTAGGATTTCCTTAGCCAAGAAAGTATGATTCAGTCTGTACACAAACATTGAAAAACAACGTTGAACATACAGACACATGTATACCACAAAACTGCCAAGCTAATTATAGAAGGAACATAGAATAATAAAGCACATCAATTCATCAAAAAGACAGAGGAAAATAAACATTGAATAAGTAATGCAAATAAGTCACCATATAATAAGTTACTGTACTTAAACTAATATAGATTAGAAATCAGGTTAAGTGTAAATTAACTAACTGCTCAAATGTAAAGAAAAATAATTGACAGATTGTTAAAAACTATGTGCTATTTATAAGAAACCTGTATAAAATATAAAGACGTAGAATGTTTGGAAGTTGAGTGATAGACCAAGATATGTTAGGAATAGTAGACAATCTCTGAGATGGCCAACAATGATTCTCACCTCCTGTTCACATAATATCTCATGTGTAGGACAAAATTATATTATCATATTTAATAGAGTTGACCTGTGTTACCTGTAGAATTTCGAGGCAATGTCAGTGTTCCATAGTCTAGATTATAAAACATATTATGATTTTTACATTGTTCTCTTTTGGATTGCTTATTCTGGAGGAAGGCAGCCTTCATGTCAAGAACACGCAAGTATCCTGGAGAGAGGAAAACTGAGAAGAAATTAACACTGCATGCCAAGATTCAGCACACTAATTCTAACCATGTTGAGAGTCAATTTTGAAACTCATTCCTTAGCCACTGTCAACCCTTCAGATAACTGTAGCCCCAACTAATATCTTGATTGCAAACTCTTGAGAGATGCTGAAGTTGGAAAAGTCCAGCTAGGCTGCTCAATCACACAAATTGTGAGAAATAATAACTGGTTATTGCTTTTTTTAAGCCACTTAGTTTTGGGATGTATTGTTACACAGCAACAGATAAATGATTTACCATGTAAAGAAACAACAACAACCTACAATGAAACAATGAGTATATCTATATTGATAACCAATAAAAAGGCTTTTAGCCAAAAACCATTACTAGAGATAAATAGGGGCATACCATAATAATTACAGGATCTACTCACCAAGAATATATAAAAATTCTAAATATCTGTGCTCACAATAATAGAGTTTATCGGTAAAGCAAAGGGATAACTGCCTCTCAATCCAATAAAGCTACATATTCACAAGTAAACATTACCTGCAAAATATCTACATATTTAAAAAATAATACATAATAAAATCTGAGAGACCAAAATAAACATTCCTTTATCAACTAAGATGGACCTTAAGGTTAAATAAACAAAAGTTACCTATGAGTATAACGTTCAGGGCAGCTAGCATGGAAACTCCCTAAGTTCCTATGGCTACAAGAGAAAACACACTGTCGTTAAATTTCATAACAATTGGAGCTATCAGGCCAATGATCAGACCCCCCCATAACTCTGATTTACAGCCTAGACCACTACAACTCTGAACAAAGGATCAGCCTTGCAAACCTTCTTTTTTGTTTTTTTATCAGCAACTGCAGACCTTAAGCCAGTTTCAGCCAGTTTATAGGGGCTGCACACAAACTGTCTTTGTGTCCTATAGTTCACTATCTGAAACAAAAAAAATTCCACCTTACTTCAATGCTAAAACCCTGCTCCAAAGTGAACATGAAACGTATGTTACATATATGTTTACCCATTGTGTATGTGTTGCGCTTTCATAAATATGCATAGCTTTTCCCCTAAGCCTGATGAATATGTGTGACTCTCTTTTATAATATGGACCCTGTGAGGCATAAAACCCAAAGCCCTTCCCGTCTTCAAAGAAAGAGCACATTCAATCCATGCCGGAGACTCTCTCCTCCCGATTTTCAAACTGATTATCATCAATAAAACTATCCTTTCTATTATTTAACCACACTGGTGGTCTTTTGAATGACAAATATATATTGCATATGTAATATAAGTAATATATAAATAATACTATATTATTGGCCAGTGACAAAAACACCCTAGAAATTAGGTTATATTTTTGACTGTGTGATATGGAGAATACTACAAATCAAAACAGTATTAAGTAATTAAAGCCATTTTCAGAGAGAAATACATAGTCGTAAATATATTATACACTGAGAAAAATAGATAAAAAACTTGAGGGTATATTAAAGAAGGCAGAAAAATCACACTTTATTAAGCCTACAGATAGAAAAAAATAATAACATAGAAAGTAAAATTAATAAAATAAAAGCATAAAATATATATTATCAAAGAACAAATTGATACTCTATAAAATGATAAAAATTTTAACTTTTTGGTAATACTAATAAAAATTAAAAATCAAGGTGCAATAATTATTGACAGAATAAAGAATAGGTAGGTCATCACTATAATCCTGTGGACAATCAAAAGGCAATAAATTACTACTATGAAAGCATAGTACCAAAATAAGAACATTTAGATTTCATAGAGAAATTACTAGAAAAACACATCTTAAAAAACTGAAAAATATAAATACAGTATCTGAATATTCTATTACTATTTAAGAATCAGAAATATTTTTTTTTCTTTTGAGATAGAATCTCACTCTGCCACCCAGGCTGGAGTGTAGTGGCACAATCTCGGCTCACTGTAACCTACGCCTTCTGGGTTCAAGCGATTCCCCTGCCTCAGCCTTCTGAGTAGCTGGGATTACAGGCGTGTGCCACCATGCCCAGCTAATATTTTCGTATTTTTAGTAGAGACAGGGTTTCACCATGTTGGTCAGGCTGGTCTCAAACTCCTCACCTCGTGATCCACCTGCCTTGGCCTCCCAGGGTGCTGAGAGTACAGGCATAAGCCACCATGCCCGGCCTAGAAACCCTAAATAAAACCATTTCTACAATCAAAACTACAGGCACTGATGGCTTCCCCAGACAATTGTAACAGTAATCTATTTAAAGGAGTGATTTCAAAACACAAAAACGTTTTCAGAAAATGAAAAGAGTGAAAACATCATCAGCTCACTTTCGTGTTATCAAAAGCTGACAAGAATATTAGAAGAAAGGGTAATGCAAATCAACATTCAAAACTTTAAAGCAATTAGCAAATGGAAATTATTTTATTGGACGGTAAGAAACTAATTTCCTCAATTTTATTTCTGCAAATATTGGCATTATCTATCACCTAGTTCTTTTTTATTCAGTTTAGAATTTTTTTTGGAAGTTAAAATATTTTTTAATGCCAGTCAACTTCATGAGCTAAAAGTTCTGACTGCATTTTTTTTCTAAGACTTGCCTTTTCCTCTATGAGTACTTAGGCTCTTGTGATTGGTCTAACAGTTTGGTCCACAGTAATCTACATATCTCCATGAAAGTATTTTATAGATGTGATAAACATTTATAATCATTTGGCTTTAAGTAAAAGAGATCAACCTTTTTAATATACATAAGCCACTTCCAATCAGCTGAAAAACTAAAGGGTAAAAGCAGATCTTCTGCTGAAGAAATTCTGCTTTGAAATTGTAGTCTTTGTAAATTTTAGACTCAAAACTAAAACAGTAACTCTTGTCAGAGTTTCCAGTCTGCTAGCCTGCCCTAGGCATTTCGTACTTGTCACCTGGCAAAATCTCATAAGGGAATTCCTTAAAATCTGTCTATCTTTATCTATCTATCTATCTATCTATCTATCTATCTATCCATCTATCTATCTGTCTCTCTTTCTCTCTCTCTCTCTCTCTGCATCCATTTATAATCTATCTAGTCTGCCATATTATACATATATATCTTCATATTATCTATATTCATATCTATCTCATCTTGGTTATGTTTCTCTGGAGAAATCCTAATTGATACAGACATGTTGGAGTTACCAGTTTCTTTGTGTCCGTGGCTTTAATCTTTCTAGAAGCCTTCTGGCAAGCTAGAAGGATCTAGAACAGTTCGTTATCCTTTCAGAATTCTTAAATTTTGAACGATAATCACATGCATATTGGAAATCCCCTAGTTTTAGTCTATCTCCTTCCTACAAGTGTATTATCATGGTCAAGCCCTTGTTTTGGAGAAAAACAGCTTAATTATCCAAGCCTTGGAATTTGTAAACTCTCTATTCCACTTTAGTTCTATTTGCATATCAGCTTATTCTATTTTGAGCGCATCTCTTTCCTGTGTACCTTAGTGATGCAGCTAAGAGTAACTAAGAAACATTGCCAATACTTTGCCTTGAAATCACCTCGCCCAATTTTAAAAATCCATCAGATATATTTTCTGAATTGTAAGATAATACAAGCCACTGCCTTTCCTATGAGAGTTTCCTTTTGACCTGCTGCCCTTCTAAGATACTGCTATGTATTTTATATTTAAGCTATTGGTACCAATATCTATATAATTCAATTTTGTCATAATAGTGCCATGTAAAAAGCCATCCTAAATTTCAGTAGCTTATGACAAAACGTTTACCCCCATGAGGGTTCTTAAGTGCAGGTGACTACAGTTTAGCATATTTAGTAGTTAGATGGCTGTGCTTTAGGTTGCAGTTGGTTTTGCTTTCTTCAAAGCTGAAGAATTAAGTTCACATCTGTTCTATTTTGTACTTACGTTTAAAGGGAAGCAGTTACTGAAGCATGATATTCCCATGACACCAGAATTATAAGAACAAACAAAACTGTGCAAATATCTTTAAACCTTCTGCTCAAATTACAACTGGTTATATTATAGTGGACTATTCAAATCCCTTTGCCAAGCTGAACATCAACCAGCAGAAAAGTATATTCTGCCCATAGTGTGAGGGGATGAGAAGGGAGCCATAAGTAACCCATGTCACAGAGAAAAATTTGTTATAACTCTGCATTTTATCTGGAGCGTATCTTTATATGTAGAGTCAAGCAAATTTTTTCTTTATTCAGGTACATGTTCTTCATTGCCATAAGCAGTTACTGTACCAGAAGAGTAACTTCCGGCCTTTACTCCTCCAATTAAACACTGCCAGGAGTTTGTCCATGATGCCAACAACAGCACTGACAAATGGTGAAATCACTGTAAATCTTATGTTGAAAATTTTAAGCAGGTAAACATTAAATGAAAAAGACAACAGAAAATGAAGGTAGTATCTGATGTGCTCTGAAGTAACTATTCCTGATAAATTAATGTTGTGTAATTATCACTGGTGTTAGGATGGAAAGTCCAATGTAAATTATTATAGTGAAGTTTATAAAATGAGGAAAGGGAAACATTGTTTATTGAGATCCATGGGGAGTAAAGAGTTTGTTTAATACTGGAAGCATAGACAAATCATTTCAATAAAGTTTAATGTAATGTAACTATTAAATACTTATTATATACCTGGTTTTAAAATAGGGGTCACAATTTCGTATTATTGAAGGGAATATTTTTATAACTTGAAAAATATTGGAAATATTTATATAATATTTTTAAGTCTGTAAATTGTTTGGGAGTGAAAGTAGCCAAACTAAATATTTTGCCTAAGAAGACCAGTGAACTCAGTTTGCCTGCGACTGAGGAATTTCCCAGGATTTGTGATTTTCAGTGTTGAAGTCAGAGCAATCTCAGGAAAACTGGGACAGTTGGTCACACTGTTTGTGTCCTCTGCAAAGACCAGGCTTCTGATATGACAGTATATAGTAGTTGCTGTGCTGAGTGATCAAGATTTAAGAATTGATCTTATATATTCTCTGCAAATAACTTAAATCTAGGAAGAAAAAAATAGGTGTATTGCTAACTGCAACAAATTGTGAATTTAGTGCTGCAGGCTAAGGTGGGAAATGAAATCTAGTGATGCTTATCTAATGCTTTACAAGGAAATACACATTTGAGATTTGTTTTGTGAAACAATTGGGAATTTATAAAGTAAGCACGTTGCATAAGTATGTCTCAGGCAAAGAGATTAGAAAGAAACAAAAATAGACTTTTTAGAAGGCTCTGCCTGCCAAGTTATGAAATATAGACCAGATACAAAAATTGCAAAGGATTTATTACATTTTCACAAAAATTATGCCAACATTTTTCAGAATTTTATTTTCTCTAATTTTCATCTTTCTTTAAATAATTCAGCTTGCCTGATCACTTGCTACCAAGTGAAGTTTTAACCAAAATATTTAATTTTATAATAACTCACAATCTCAAGATACGGGTTATTCTTTTCATTTTAGACTGTCACCTAGACTGGAGTGCAGTGGTTCCATTTGGCTTACTGCAGCCTCAAATTCTTGAGCTCAAGTTTTCTCCTGCTTCAGCCCCCTGAGCACTTGCCATCATCCTTGGCTAATTAAAAAAAAAAAAACAATGTAAAGATGGGGTCTTGCTATGTTGTTCAGGCTCAAACCTCTGGTCATAAGCAATCCTCCCACCTCAACCTCTCAAATTATTGAAATAAGAGACCTGAGCCCCCGCAGCTAGCCAAGATATGAAATATTCATTTAAAATGTATCTTCTGTTCTATTTAAATGTAAAATTTCATATTTGTATTTTCATAACTAGTGCATATATTTAATGCTATTGCCACCACAAACATTCCATTTGAATGAAATTTAGAACTTATACACAGTCAGACATAATATATGGTAAACTAAATTTCTATTTGAAGTAAAATATGAAACTGGAAAGAATTTTAAAGGTTCAAACAGTGTGAATAATATATGAGCAGTGTGGGTGACACAATTTTATATATATGTTGCAAAATGCATTTTAATTATCAATGATTAATTTATGAGATTTACTTCCAACTAGGTGTTTTAGCATTTAATAAAAATTGCTATTTCAATGTTTTTCTACCCAGCCTGTTTTGTAGTTGTTATAAGATAATTCAGGTAATTTCTGAAGAAAAGGAAGAAGCTATAAAGTATGGATAATATATCAATTTTGTTCTGCTATTTAGATTATAATAAATTTTTATACAGGGAAGAGAAAAGGTATATTATATTGATTTGTCCATCTAATGAATATACAGTCTGAACATCTTTAAATAAGGTTTTAAGGTTTTCTGGAAGTTTTATTTCATCATAAGGAAAGTTTAAAACTCACTATAAAGCGTATATTAGGTTAATTTGATTTTAGGTTTTATAACCCTTACTCAAACTGGCTAAAACCCAAGGAAAATTGATTGGTTTACGTAACTGTAAAGGTTTCCCACCTGAAAAGGTGCGTTCCAACATTGGATATGAATGGATCCAGATGTAGGATGAAATCAGAACGCTTTCCCTTTACTCTCTCCAGCTTTCAGCCCTGCTTTGCTCTGAAGTGGTTCATTTTGAAACAACCCCTCTTCAGGTTGTAACCACCAAGAGGTCCAGCTTAGTAATGCCAGAAGAAAACATCTTCTTTCCAATTTTAACAATTTCAGCCAAGAACAATCACTGTGACCAAGGGAACCTTCAATCAGTCCACATCCCATGTATTGATTGTAGAAGAATGTGTTTTCCCTAAAAGGAAACTGAAAAAGTCTAACAAGAAGAACTATGAATTTGTAGGCAGCGGGAAAGACTTTTCTTTCATGCATTGGTATTTAATTTATTCTGCCTAAGAACAAATTTCTATAATAAACAGATTTTGTCTTTTAAAATAGTAACACAAATTTCATGCAAACAAAACATCTAATGGTATCCCAAATGGTTTCAAATTTCAAAATGTGGTTTTCTAAATAATAAAAACAAATCAACATACACACAAAATGATTTATTATAGTAGTTATAGCAAAACAGTCTCCAGACTACCCTATGCACAAGTATTGTATTGACGTTATGTTTTTCTTATTGACATCAGCATGAAACAATAAACAGCAAACATAACAAGGAAGAAAACAAAACAAAAGCCTACATTAACCCATATATTTGACATTTTGAAGAAAAACGTATTAAAAATGGGTTGAGTTGCTATGCTTACACAGCAAGTGACTGCTGTTACATTGAAAGTGGGCTACTCCATGCTAGGTCTAAGAGATCAAATCTTCCCTTATAAATATATTCAAGTACTTTTCTATTTAAAACACAAATTAATTCAATCTATTAATGGCTGAAAAATTACATAAAGCTGATATACTTTTAATCAAATATCTACTGAATTTTCTTATTCAACTCTTCCTATTATTACCAATTAGGCTTTTAAGAGTAAATCCTTTAAAATGTAGAGTCATATTAACACTAAATATTAGTTCAGTGACAAATTTCAATTTGGTACAACCTAGAACATTTACTAAAAAGCCTATGCTTGAAGTAAAGTGGAATTGCATCAAATTAAAAGAGCAGTCTATTAATTTAATTTTACCAATATTTGTCAATAAATAACCTTTTAAAGTTTTATATATTCCCATATATACTAATTTATGAAACATGGATAGCTAGTTATTTTTAATTTTGAATAGCATTCTTATACTGAACAGTTTATAAAAATGTGAAAATGTACTTAAAAAATATCCACTAAATGTTGTTGAAACATTCTTCTGAAATGATGTGCCACATAACTAATATTGAGTAGATATAAGGAAGTCATGATTCATGGATCCAAAACATTAGCAGATATGATCAAAGAAATCACTGATGCAAATCTGAATCCTGAATCTGTCATGCAATAGTTGCTTATTGAATATTTGTCAACTCGTGAATCTAGGGCCAAGAAATAAAAACGATTAAATGATCATTTTATAGACGAATAATTTTAGAATTCATATTGCATAAAGAAAGGCATAAGTGCCTTCACTAGACCAAATATCTATAGCTAATATCTTTAGCACTTAGTATCTGCCAGGCACAGTTCTAAGTACCTCACATGTATTAAAGTCTTCAATCTTCACAACAATCCTGTGAGGCATATGCTATCATTACCTCCAATTTAACACTTGAAGAACTAAGGCACTAAGAGCTTGAGTATCTATTTCAAGGTCACCAGTTAGGTAAGAGGCATGACTCAGACAGAGGCAGCAGGGCTGAGTCCACACCCTTCACCATTAAGGTATAATACAGTAAGCTAAATACAAGAAACATTTTGTAAACTTTGAACACCAAATGTAAACACATAACCTAACCAAAAAAGAGCATCTAGTATTTACATTGGCAAACAAAAAGTATGTTCACTCAATCAACTAGCAAATAGTATATATGTAATAATTTTAACTTTATTTTACTATAACTATAGTTTTGTCATTAAAATGTCTGAAATTAAAAAAATCATTTTCTATGTTTCTAGTGGTCATTCTGCTGTCACTCATACATTATAATGGCTTGGAATTTAAAATAATATCTCTTTCAAGGGGTTACAATAAATTGGATTCGACTTTCATACTAGAGAGCCAAAAGATTGGATAAAACTCTCTGCAGAAACCAATTGAGCCAACTGAACTATGTGTGTGCGTGCATGTGTGTGTGTGTTAGAGAAGTATTAACAATTACACATAGGTCAGTCTAATTCTGGATATCACAGACCTTGAGGTACCCTTTAGCATTCATTTTATCAAAATAAAGGAACACATACTTTAGGAACATGTCTTTGGAAGCTCCAAATGCTGGAGTAAGCTGTGCCATCTGTGTGGAGTAAGCATCTTCACTCAGTTCCAAGAACATTCCTGCTTACATTTGTCTGAATATTAATGACATCAAACTGTGACATGTCCCTTGTTGGAACTGATTTCACAGCATTTCTCATTTGAACAAATATCATGATAAGGGTACATTTTAACCATTTTTTCATAGTTCCTGGCACATAACATTAAGAAGGGCATTGAAGCATAACTATTTTGATATTCTGCTGATATGGAAAATGCTAAAATTCTTAATAAGCAAAATACACTACATGTAACAATTAATTAGGCTGAAAGAACATGTCAGATTTCTAGTGACATTACCTGAAGCCTAAAATTTTTATGAAAAAAGACATTAAAGCAATAGTCATTGTCCATTCTATCTCAGTACCTTGTAAGTGAACATATCAGCTCTACATATTTTCTATATTTTGTTTCTAAATAGAAGTTTTAAATAACATTGCTTTCATAATGTGTTCCCTAGTTACTTAATGTACACGTATAGAACATATCTGTAAAGATCATCCGCATTCCTTCTTCTATATATAGCAATTGTCTTTCTTATATTTCCTTTTATATTAACATAGATCTTTATAATGAAGAGAATACCAAATATTGTTATTTTGCTTTTATAGCTACCATATCTTCTGAATAATTAAAAATCTCTACTTGTTACATGATACAAAAATTTCTACCCTGCAAATGACTATTTTTATACAGAAATACTACCAGTGAGAAACATGTTTGAAGGTTTCATATACATTTACCAATATCAGTGGAGTTAAAACACTTGAATCTTGTAGGTTTGGTGTAAAAACTGTATTCTAACCTCATACAACCTTAAATAACCCTTAAAGTATAGGAAATAACCTTGTTACGTTACTAATTCCTATATGCTTGCTATTGAAAATAATGATAAATTCCTCAGGAATTATACTTTTATGCATTTCTATTTTGAAAGGTATGTAATTGACACAGGTAAGGTATTCTTGTTTTAGCAAAATGACTAATAGCTGAGAAAAAAAGTTACATATTCATTAAAATATTTGAACTCCTAAAAGGATATTTCAATATGGCTGGGCACAAGTAAACACAACATTTCTGTAATGCCATAATTTGCTAATAGCTACATTTAAAGCCAAAAAAGTTAATTCATGCTAATAGATAAGTAAACAAAATTCTATTTTTATAAGCACATAAAAAGCAAAACTATGTAAATAATAAGCTTTCTATCAGAAAAATAGGTTTATTGAATTTTTAAAAATAAATTATCAGAGATTTACAGACAAATGAATAAAACCTGACAATATTAGATCTAGTAAGAAAACATTTAACCAGAAAGAAAAGCTATTACCTGGATCACCTCACTCTTCCCTAGTCATTCCTCTACTAAATTTTTAAAGAGCCTTTACAAATTTCCAAGTTTCTTGTTTTTTAAAAATGTATTGACAACCTTAAAACAAAACAACTCTCTCCAACTACCTTCCCTGTCAGCAATCTTCTTAGATCTCACCTTCTGTTAAGAGCTAAACTCTTGATTCAAGGTTAATTCATAATTAACATTAACTATTTTTCTACTTCCTTCCCAGTTTCCTTCAACATACTTTGTACTCCCATAAGCCATCAAGCCAACTCTAGATAAATTTACTCAAATTTATTGAGTGAAATAAATATCTGTACCTCATTAAACAAATATTATTTGTCAATCCCAGCCATTTTTGTTTTCTAAGTAATTTGAAAGACTATTCATCACTTTTTCTTTAAGACATGCTTCAGCTTTTGTGATAATACAATGTATTTGTTTTCTATGCTGTATAACAAACTACCACAAATTTAGCAGCTTAAAGCAATATATATCTATATCTATATATCTATATACTCTATATCTTTTTTTTTTTTTTTTTTTTGGTCTCACGGTTTCTATAGGTCAGGAATCTGGTAAAATCTGGATCCTCCACGGAGGATCTTAAAATGTTGCAATCAATCAAGGTGTCCGCCAGGCTGTGCCATCATTTGGAGCTCAGGTTTATGAAGCTCTAAATAAACTTTATAGTTGTTGGCCTAACATTTCTTTCTAGTTGTAACAGCCCTTAGTTCCTAGAGAGCAGCCCTTCTCCATAAGCAATTCACTAAATTGCTACTTGCTTCTTTGAGGCCATCAGTAAAGCATTTTCCTTTGAAATAATTAATCTGATTAGGTAAAGGCTATTCAGGATAATCTCTCTTTTGTCTAACATAGCATTAACTAAATAGGATCCTCTATTCCATGTGAAAGATCCCTTCCATATTGGTATGTGCCCAGGTGCCATCTATTACTTCTGCCAAGTAACCCAGCTTAATTACAGGAGTAACAGCGGGGCAGAGGTCATAGAGTCCAGCTAAGATTTTGCCTATCACATCTAGCTTCCTGGTTTTTACTAAACCTCTCTAGGCATTCTTCCTTAATCTGATTTGACAACATATCCTCCAATCATTAAATATTCAAGTTTCTGCTAAAGGCCTAGGGTCCATTCTAGTCAACTCAAAACTCAATTTCTTCCCATTCTCATATATGCCCTTGGAACCTTGGAATTGTTTACTACTCAAACATAAAATGCTCACAGATTCTATAGAAATTAAAATAAATATAAGGAAACGTTAACAAAATTATACCAACCCATTACATAACTTAGATGAACACATTCTTAAAAAGATATAAGCCACTAAAACAAAAAACCCTATAGATAGATAGATAGATAGATAGATAGATAGATAGATAGAGAGAGATAGTCATTTATTTCACAAATAGTATATATATGTATATATCATGTATTTGGAAACTTAGAACATTAAACATAAAATTGATTTTTTTCAGCAATTTAAATTCCATGGAGAATAAATTCTAAATAATGTGTTTTTCTTCAAACATTACCTTAAATATTTTCTAACAGCTCCCTTTCGAAACACTTAATTATATCTTTAAAAGATTTCTCTGATTTCTGGTCACTTTTAGTTATTAAGCCTCAGTTGAGGTTAGATATAAAATCTTATAGTTGATGTTTGAATCTTATTTTACCCTCTCTCCAAGAGTAGACTTAAATTTCAGCCCTACAGATCTGAGGTTGAAATAGTGATTGGCCTCTGCTTTCACTCTTCATTTCTAACATCTTGAAATGGAGTGCGAGAAGGAAGTTTGGTTAAAAAACATCTCTTTGCCTTTCCACTTATAGGTTTGAGTCTGCTGGCATTATGAGGCTGAACAAGGTCAGTGGGCAGAGAGATATCAGCTGTAAGTGGCCCACTGTTATATATGAATGAAGTAAAATGTCTAAGTTGCTCTGGTTCTACCTATTGCCATTTTCTGTCTGCCAATGTGGTGAGTGTGGTTGCCTTGGCTTATTATTTAACCTGGCTCTTTCATCCATTAAGAATACTCTGGGACTTAATACGTTTCCTTAAGCCCCACTTACCTGAAGCTCACCCAATAGCCTCATGGCAGTTGCCACCTCATGAGGTGTGGCAGTCGTTACTGAGGTCATCCCAGTGCTCTTTAAGGGCTACAGGGAATTGAGATGGGTTTCAATCAGTTGTCTCCTTGGTAATGATACGCAAAGTTCCCTTATTTCCTACTGGCTGTGTAAGGGTCTCTGTGATCTTCAGAAATTCTATAACACACAGATAACATTCTCTCTTTTTTCATAAACCACAAACTCTCAGGGTTGAACTCCAGATTCTCTCAATAGCTCCCACAATGTTCTCTGCTCTAAGGAAAGAAACGAATGGACCCATCTAGTTTAAGAGTTCAAGATTTCAGCTTGAGAGTAAGATATCAGGTGTATTAGTCAAGGTTCTGTAAAGGGACAGAACTAATAGCACAGATATATATATGAAGGGGAGTTTATTAGGAGAATTGACTCACACAATCACAAGGTGAGGTCTCACAATAGGCCATCTACAAGCTGAGGATCCAGGAAGCCAGTTCGAGTCACAAAACCTCAAAAGTAGGGAAGCCTATAGTGCAGCCTTCAGCCTGTGACTGAAGGGCTGAGACCCCCTGGCAAATCACTGGTATAAGTCCTAGAGTCCAAAAGCTGAAGAACTTGGAGTCTGTATTCGAGGATAGGAAGCATCCAGCACAGGAGATGACGGCCAGAAGACTAGTCCTTCCAGGTTCCTCTGCCTGCTTTTCTCCTAGCTATGCTGGCAGCTGATTAGATGGTACCTACCCAGATTGAGGGTGGATCTGCCTCTCTCAATCCACTGACTCAAATGTTAATCTCCTTTGACAACACCCTCACAGACACACCCAAGACCATGACTTTATATCCTTCAATCCAATCAAGTTAACAGTATTAACCATCACACCAGTCATTGCCAATCTCCAGGAATTCTGTGCTTAGATTTCTACTCATTGTGCCAGAAGTGGTAGTGAAATATAAGAAATTATCTTCTATGACACAAAACAGGAGGGCAAAATATTCTCCCCAATGACTTTCATCTCTTTCTCACAATCATCTCCCTGTTTTGACTATGGATGTTATGAAAGATAGTTGTTTTACCAGCAAGCCCTGTCGGTCTTCCATTCTGGTAGCTCTTCATGGCAGGAGAGTCTTGGTACAAATTCTGGCATATCTTCAGAATCCTATACTGTTGAATCTGTTATGGTCCCTGATATGCTTTGGCTCTGTGTCCCCACCCAAATCTCACATTGTAGCTCCCATAATTCCCATGTGTTGTAGGAGGGAGCCAGGAGGAGATGACTGCATCATAGGGGCAGGTTTTTCCCATGCGGTTCTCATGATTGTGAATGGGTCTCACGAGATCTGATGGTTTTAAAAACGGGAGTCTCCCTGCACAAGCTCTCTCTTTGTCTGCCACCATCCACGCAGGATGTGACTTTCTCCTCCTTGCCTTCTGCCATGATTGTGAGGCCTCTCTAGTCATGTGGAACTGTAAGTCCAATAAACCTCTTTCTTTTGTAAATTGCCCAGTCTAGGGTAGGTCTTCATCAAGCAGCGTGAAACCGGACTAATACAGTCCCTGTACCTATGGTACAGCAGTGAAAGTTCTATTCAAGAGTCAGATATATATTTATTGTATAAAATAATCATTACAAAAAAGCCCTATAAATTCAGTATTACAAACCATTCTCCTTTATGCTCCCATTATATAGATGAGATTTATAAAAGCTATGTAAGCTCCCTAAGTAGCTGCACAGTATCTAAATCTATTTGGCCCCCAAGTCAAACTGTAAACCACTATAGTAAACAGAAAAATGTACAAAAGAATATGCAAATTGCCAACACATATTTGTAATACAGCAAGGTTACTGTTAGAGAAATACAATTTTAAACAAGGAGATGCATTTTTATCTATATACTTAAAAGATGTTTTATAATAAAAGAATATCCAATGTTAGGCATTATACACATAAACAAGAATGCCTATAAAATATTCGAAGCATTGTAAATTACTAAATTTCCTTTGAAAACGACTTAACAGTAATTATCAGAAGTCTATAATAGATTGTCATCTTTTTATCTAGTAATTATGCTGCATGTAATATTTTAAATAACATTTTTAAAAGATATAGTAATACATAGACATTTATTGGAGCATATATAATAATGAAAAACAAATTTCAATAAATAATATTAATTAAACAAATTACAAAATGTCCTATTAAAATAATATTATAGCAACTAAAAACAATACTTATAATTTATTTTACATTAGGTGGAAATTGCTTGTTTCTATGGTTGTAAGACAATATCAAGTCATAGCATATATTTTTTCATATTATGTAAAAATTTAAAAACCAAAGACAGAAATTTAACGTAGCAGCCATATTTGTTTCTGGAAAAGGGATTACATGTTTTTCTTCATTTAATTTGTGTACTTTTTCACATATGCTCTAAAATGTATAAATGTTTCTTTTTTGCAAGAATGTAGAAAAGATATTAAATAGCATAGATTGTGAAAAAGTAGTTACTATTTCACTACTCAGGCTAAAAGTAAGAAAGACTGTTAGACTGACACAGAAGTTTTGCCGAAGCTAAAGGCATTAGAAAAGACAATTATCCACCTAACACATTTTAATGACAATCATGAGAAATATCATGTTTTTTCTCCTCTTGTGTCTTATTCTCTTCTTTCATTTTAAAAGCAAATTCAAAGTGAGAATATTACTTATTTAGAACAAAAAAGTCTAAAAAAATTCTACAGTTTCTATGAAGATTAGACTAAGTGTTGCAGTAAATAAAAACAAGGCAATGTTTATTTTAGTGCATGAGGTACATGCTAAACGAGACAGGTATGGTTTGGATGTTTTGTGTCCTCCAAATCTCATGTTTAGATGTGACCCCCATTGTTGAAGATGGACCTAGCAGGAGATATTTAGGTCACAAGGGTAGATCCCTCATAAATGGCTTGTTGTTGTCGTTGCAGTAATGAGTGAGTCCTCACTATACGAGTTCCTGTTCTGTTTGTTTAAAAAGAGCCTGGCACCTCCTCCATCTCTCTTGCTTCTTCTCTTACCATGTGATATACTGGCTCCCCTTCTTCCTCCCCCCCATGATTGGAAGCTTATTGAGGCCATCACCAGAAGTAGATGCCGGCACCATGTTGGTAGTACAGCCATGCAAAGCCATGAGCCAAATAAACCGTTTGTCATTATAAATTATCCAACCCAGGAATTCCTTTACAGCAATGCAAACAGACTAATACAAAGGCAATCACTGATTTTTTATTATAGGTATTACTCCCTGGTAATGTGTCTATTTTCTTGAAAGGAGTTACTTGTTTGTTATTTTTAACTATTATTTCAAACAACCTTGGTTAATATTCTGTAAGTTATTTTAAAGATAAAAATTTATTTTTTAATTCTTAAGATGTGTTTTATTATTTCCATTTTATATATTTTTTCTTTAAGTGCTTTGTTTTCTCAGCCTAGAACTCTCACTTCAAAGAATTCTAAAACATTTACCAGTTTGGAGGGATGTGTCTGTTTTACACACTTTCTTTCATATTTCTCCACCCTGATTTTTGTCAGTGGACTCAGACTTTCTTAGATTGACCTTCTACCATAGTATTAGTATTTTTAATTATTTTTATTCAGATTAATATATTTTAAATTTTGTAAGATGTTTTTACTTCCAGCTATGCTCATCTGTGTTGCTGGTACTGGCATTTTACGTAACAGCTTTCACTCATCTCAGGGACATGATCTCCTCTCCAATTTTCGAGAAAATTCTTTCCTTTAAATATTGTCTTCTGTTGTACTGTTAGTTCTCTTATACTAGTCCTGTTTTCTCATTTCTTGAGTTTGGTGCCTCTTTATCATTGTGTTCATTTACTTTAAAATTTTAATTTTTTTGTTTTCTATAGTGTTTGCATTTAATAAAGTATTTAGCTACCTACCCATTTAGCAATAGGGATTGACTACTTTATGTGCCACCAGATACTACTAGGAATGGCCATTAAAGTTTCTGTCTCATGGTGATGTACTACAGTGAAGGGGGAATTAGTAAAACCAGATGAAAACAAGTCTTCAAATAAACTTCCAATTTTACTTTTATATGTACATTAAATAAACAGCTTGATGAGCTAGTCAGTTACAGGCAATGGTGCTACTTTGAGAGAGTAATTATTCATATTATCATAGATTTCAGGTTTGCATATATTTATTTTCTGTTTCTTCTAGCCTTTCTCTATTTTCATGGCCTCTGGGATAGAGTGTTCTCATTTTTTTAAGTTGTGGAGTCTTTTCATTTATGGGCTAGTCAACTGGAGGCATTGTTCTGCCATTTTAAGTCAAGGCCAATGTTTCTTGTTCTTGCCTAAGGAAAGGATTGTTGTTGACTACTGGTAGGTACAATTTATTTTCTCCCAAGTTATATCATCAACAGAGCTATTCTACTATTTGAGCTTACAGCTTGTTAAACCTATTGCATTTTCTTGCTAATCAAATTATTTCTGCTTTCAGTCTTTCAAGAATTTTCATATTTTCAGATCTAATATGAATGTTATTTTTCTTCATCAAAGCATGAATTATTTTTAAGTACACATGGCCTTCATTTCTATGCATATGTGGTCAGAAAAGGAGGCTGTAGGCAGGTATTATACCTAATCTTCCATCCTGACACAATGCCGTTTCCTGGGACACTTTGTTTTGTACACCTTTGGTCATGTAAGATGTGGCAAGTTTATTAGGTATGAGTTGAAAACAATACAAGCAAGTAGGGTGCTGAAACTCACATTTGCCTTCCCAGCAAAAAGCAATCATTGCCTCCCTTATAGAAAAAGGTAAACACGGTAAGGCTCTCATACCACAAAATCAATCCTATGTACACTAAAATATGCTGAAGGGTTAGATAGTGACCTCTATCCCATTTTTGTTTGAGTCTGAATATTTATGTCCTGTTATCTCATCATTGGCAGTCTCAGTTTTAAAATTTTCTTCTACTAGGGTCTCTTCAGAAAGAAATTCTAGTAGGAGAAATTTATGTGGAGTACAGAGTAGACAACCAGACATGCAGCATCTCTATTTCTCAGTGGTTGTGTAGATGTGTCTCTCCTGTGTGACTCTTATAACATCTGAACTTGTCTTTTTTCACTGGTTGGTAGCTTATTGGTATTAGGCTCAAATTTTTGCTGGCTCAAATTATGTCCTTCTAGTTTCTAGCACTGTGGCCAGTCAATAACTGTGGAGTCTGAGTTTATACTTTACTTGCATACTAACAAGTTAACCAGCCCACATTTCATGGATGCAGACAGAAGACATGAGAATCCTGAGTACAGACCAAAAACTTTATCACTTATCCATGGAAGGCTGCATGAGCTTCTTGCTCAACTTGGATTTCTATGGGGATGATGTAGGTGGACCTAGAAGAATGCTATTGAAATAGTGGCTTTGTGCCCCAGCTGAAGAAATTTAAGTTTAAGAAACCACAATTTTTCATAATGTTTACAACCACACCTTACTTTTTTCCTCAAAGAGAGACACTGTCTCTATTATACAGGACACAAACTAAGCTGCCCTCTGTTCCATAGTGAGACACAATTTCTAGTTTCCAAAGATGCTTGCTTTACAAACATCCTTGAAATGACAGTCCAGAACAAAAATTGTCAGTGCATCATGAATCTGAGTGTAAGATATTCAGAAATGAGAGAGGCACAGAGAGAATTGCCTTTTAACATTGCAACCCAAAACTTCAACGTTTATATAAATGAAGGAATAAGGAATTGAATCATTGCTTATACTTAATGACATTTATAAAATTTTATTTAAATATCTATCTGTGTGTTTTAGCTTATTTGGAGAATTTCCACAAATATATATATGTTATTTAAGAGCAAAGAAAAAATTGGCACTTCATATTTCTGAATAATTAGCATATTTATAATAATTTTTAGACATGTTTTACAAAGGATTTCTTAGCACAAAACTGTCTAATATTATTCATCTCTATTAATGATATAAACCTTAAACATAGTTATTTTTCATTTAATTAGACACAAGCTGTAAAATCAATGCTACATCCTTTTGGGAAAATTACATAGGGAGTGCATTTTTCAATAAGCAATTAAATAATTACTATTTATTGAAATTGAGTAAACTACAAATGGTGACATGTATAATATATAAAAACTAAATTAATGGTGAAAAGGATAAATTTCCAAAGTACATTTGGTTGATCTGTCTTCATGTGGATGCTGGTATATGTATGTGTTTTTATGTATGCATGCATGTATGTACTACATAAATATCTTCCAGTTAAGTCTAACTTATTTCATTTGGTGACTGGGAAGTAATCTCTTTGCTCAGTAAGTCTGTTACTGAAGGTCTGAGGCTACTGTAAGTCATATTCAGTCTTGTTAGCACTATCAAACCTGCTGGTCCCTTTTAGCTGATATGACCCAAGGAGTACTCAGCTGAAGTGAAAATATTCACTACCAACTTCAGTAATATCTTTCCTTTGATCCCAGGTCTGGACTATATATCCCATAATTTGTGCTGCATAATCACTCTCTTCAGCTTTGTTCTGCAGAGATTTGGGTAAAGAACTTTTATTTTTAAAGGAAAACTCTTAAACAAACTTTCTTTGAAATTTGTTGCATTTGAAACAAGACACTGTAGTAGTTTAAAACCTCATTTGGTCATGAGTTGAAATGTGTCATTGACTGCTTTATTCTGGAAAAACTATCTTTAAAAATTTTGTTTTTCAGTGTATATGTATATTGTTTGCTCACCCTCCTAATACACTGAATGCTATTTAAGTAGCAAAAATATGGTAGTAAGAATAGTCTCTCATCATTTAAAAAATCCAACTGCAGTGATTGTTACCACGGAAAGTACTTAAAGCAATGAAATGGAAGAGAAAATATATCTTTTACATATACTATTCAGTAGTAGCATTCAAAAGTGTTTGTGGCTTAGCAATGTAAGTTCCTCCCTTAAATGGCTTATCGAAAAACTTTATATTTAGTTTGATATTCTCTTTAAAGAGGAGTTGTTTCTCCTTAATAAGATACTGGAATAATATAAAAGTTTCACTCACATTTCCCAGTAGCTGGGAATGCTTTAATCAAAGCATTTTTTTTTTAAATGGATTTACACATAGAACTGCTTTATGAGCTTGATGTGATATTTTATCATTGTCTACATTATATATGACATATTTCATATAATACATGTATAATATATATAAAAATTTGTAAAGACTAACTTGTAAAACACTCTATTGGCTTATTAATTTTAATATAAGAATGATGAACAAAAATACTGTCATGTTTTGCCTACTTAAGATGACTCAATTAGAAATGCAAATTATAATTTATACAAAATCTAATACATTCATTAACATATTTAAATATTTTATTGAACAATTATAATTAAAACTAAATTAAATCCTCTTATATATATCTTGAGTTAATAACTTCCACTGGTAAATGATTTTTAAGTTTTTTTCTTGTATTCTACACATTCAAAAAAGGTTAAAATTACAAATAAACATCTAAATAAATTATCTAAAAGTGAACACCTGTACACTACTATTTCAAAATAGATCATTGCCATCATCACAGAAGTTCCCTTCATACCAACACAGATGGGTCTGAGTGGTCAAAGTTGGTATCCTGAACTTTCAAGAAGAGGGTCCCTGGACTTTACACAATGGAGCTGAAAGCCCAGAACTCCTCACTACATGACTAAAGTTGGACTGGAAATGGACCAGCTGTCATGGAGGTTAAAGTATAGTTTCAAATCACTTTAATCTCTAAGCTGAGATAAAGGTATATATATGAATTTTCTTGAATCATTTTTAGTTAATTAAAATACAAAATTCGCCAAATTGTTTTTCTACTAATGTAAACCCTAATCAACATATTCAAAATAAGTATTATTTTTAATTAGACTATATTCCATCTTTGTCTACAATCCAAAAAGAATAACAAATGTCCTAAATGCCCATCAACAGAGAAATGCTAAATAAATAATGCTTTGCTTAAAATTTATACTACATAAATAATTTCTAAAACAAGTTGTATCTATATTTCACAGCTGAAAGACTTGCCATAATGTATTATTAAGTGAGAAAAGTAAGTTGCAGAGTGATATATCTATAGGTTCACAATGCATTATTTGTACTTCAAAATCTCTCCCATGAGTTGTTGAATTTTTTCAATAATGTAATTTGCTGTAAACTCATTTGCTGATAACTGTAGCTTGAACTGATGTAAGGTTCTTTATACTATTTGTTTACTTTACTAGGTGTAAAATTTCATATACTGCACTGCAGACATATTGATGTGTTTGATAAAGGGGCACTGCACAAGTCCTACTGAGTTACTTACATCACATCACTCTTCTGAAGTCTAAATAAAATCCTTAATTCTGAAACATATCCAGTGCCAAGGTTTTCATATATGTGATTGCGGACATGAAACATGACTCTATTTTCAGAAAATAACCAACAATCCAGTAAATATATTTCAAATATTTTTGTACATACATATGAAAATAGGTAATTATATAAATACATATATACCATGCTATTAACATTATTTACTTCAGAAGACGTGGAAGTAGTTATATTTAAAGTTTAACACTCTAAATTATATATCCTACATGATTTCATTATAGATAATGTTGAAATTCTGTAACTTCAGTGTTTGAAATAACAATTTATATGACAACCATTTTCCTTACCATGTACTTAATTGACATGAACAGAATCTTTGCTTCCATGAGGCATGAAATGTCCACTACATTTTATGCTCTACCTGTGCTTTCCTTGAAAACTTCTTGGGCTCTTTCATCCATCAGTAAATTCTCACTGGCTTCATTTCTTCCTAGCCTCAACCACCCACCATATTTCTGAGTCCACTCCTCTCTCATCAGAAACCTGTCTTCTTAGCTCGTTTTGCAAATATGTCTGTTGTTTATTTTTCAAACTTCCTACTAATTTCTAATGTTAGTAATTTAATTTTTCTTATTTTAAGCCTCACTCACCCATCTAATCCTTGAGGTGCCATAGTTTTATATTGAAAAGGAACCATAAATATGTCCTGTACTGTACTTCCCCTGAGATATTTTTATAACTGCATCAAACTTTAAAAAAATGCATACACGTTGAATAAGAAATAAATATAATACATCAAAAAAAGCACGTCTCTGACATCATTGCACCATGGCAAAAATTAAAATGAATGTTAATATTAGAACACAGCAATAACAATTACATGAGAAAAATGCAGTTAAAGTTCACAGAATACTACATATACTATTTTGATATACAGTCATCATTTACTTAATGAGAGAAATATGTTCTGTGAAACACATCAAGTGATTTCATCATTGTGCAAGCATCATAAAGGGTATAAACGTAGATGGTATAGCCTACCACACACCCTGGCTATAGGGTATAGCCTATTGCTCTTAGGCTGTAAAAATCTGTACAGCATGTTACCATGGGCAATTGTAACACAATTAAGGATTTGTGTATTTAAACATAGAAAAAGTACAGATAGAATACAGTATTATACTCCTACAGGACCACTATCCTAATGTGGTTCGTTATTGAACAAAATGTTTTTACATTGTGTGTGACTGTATTTCAACTATATGTAACTAATTTACATATTTATATTCTGGTATATCCACATACATAATTTAAATATATATAATCTCACAAATATCTATATAGGAAATATTCAAACAGTATTTAGTTTTATTATTCAATAATTGTGTTTGTTTATTTTTACAAATTGGGAGTCTAGAAAATTCAGTTTTAGAATATGAGATTGGCCACATTTGTATATTGGTTTCTTGATTATTTTATATTTTACATATGAATTTTATTAAATATATTACATTTATCAACATATGTATACACACATACACACACACACACACACACACATATATGAACTCTAATTATTTTAATATTGGAGGTTACTGAAATTTTTTGGGTGAGTATATTAAATTTCCCAACCTTTATGGAAGATGATTTTTAAAACCAGGTTAAACCCACTGGAGTGTCTATGTTTATGATAATAACTATAAAGTATTCATTATGGAAAGAAAATCAGCTGATAAAAGCTAATAGAGAGACAGACTTTAAATTAGACTTTGATCTCAATCTATGGCAATGTACCCAACTCCTAGAATTCAAGAATTCACTTATTTAAATTAAGTGAATAAATCATGTTTCACTGTCAACCAGTTATTTTTTTTGGATTATTTAAATTTCTGGTTTATTCAGTTGCTGTTCTCTTTTATTTGTGTAGATGAACTTTTATTATTCTATGATTCCTTCTTTGAATATTAAATGTAGGACTAAATAGCTAGATAATGTCCTGGAAATATATTTTAGAAAGCCATTCACTTTTGGAATCAGATTAGCTGTTATTTTGTTCCATTTAAATAAACTCTATTATTATAAATTTATGTTAGTATGTATTTTCAGCTTTTGTATTAAACATCGAAGCAATCACTAGTTTTAAACCATAAAGATGTCTCTTGGAATATTTAGTATAATTTTGTTTATGGAAATCATCTAAATGTTTTATTTTTAGGTCACGAAGGCCAGATTGAAGTAATCTTTGGCAGCTTTACATAAACTGTAAATGGATTCATTCCATCCTGCAATTAGACAGATCTACCTATAGCAGCCAAGTCATCTAATGAAACACCTGTGGACTGAAAAATAGAATATATACAGTCCATGCTTTGTGTGTGTGTGTGTATGTTTATATATAAAAATATATATATATAAAATATGTATGAGAGTTGTATTTAAATTTCCTAAACTATGGGATTTATCTTTTTAATTGAGTGACAGCCTGGACCAGAATGTATTTATTTGTCCTATTTATGATAACTGCTTAGAGAAGCATTAATATGCAGCTTTTGTGACTTGTGTTTAGAAATGTTATTCTTATGAATTAAGTGACAGTATCAATTGTCACACACAGTGACCGTATATCAAGGAATTACACTAGCATTAGGTAGAACAGCAGGTCCATTTGTTCAAATGTTCACTGAACATATGAGTGATTTTCTCTAACAAGGTCTCCAGGGAACCCGCTTGCATCCATCACTGCCTGCACTCTAACTGGAAGATAACTATTTTAAACTCCTGCTAAAATATGTGATGTTTTAGGACTGAAAGAAATTATATGTCAGGAGCCAGAGAGAAATATACTGTCGAAGTATACCAGAGAAATTCAAACAGACACCAGTAACTGCTTATGTAATCAAATTTTCATTTTTGTTCTTGTATTTTATATGTTATAATTATATGTGATAAAAAATAAGAAAAACATAACACTTCACAAGATTATTCTACCATAAAATTAAACACTTTTGGTTTCCCTAAAATGTTTTCACACAGCTACCATTTTAAGGTCCAAATGAATATAAAACACAAACACATTTTATATATATGCAATACAATATGCTAGCATTTTGCTGAATTCATTATTTATTCTATAATTAATTTCCTTTTTTCATGGGGCTTATATTCTAGTAAAGAAGAAAGCCTTTAATTGGCGAATATCATGCCAGATACACCCTAAGGTGGACCCTAATGATTCATGTTTTTGTAAAACACCTTCCCTTTAAATATATGTGGTTGCTGTGACTTGTTTTTACCTAACAGAATATGAAAAAATTAATGAGCAGTCATTCCCTTAATTAGGTTGTGTTACACGAAACTCCATGTTAGCACGCTAGAACAAAACAGATTCTCCTTGCTGGCTTTACAAAAGCAAACTGCCATGTGATGAGCTAACTCTGGAGAAGGTGGTGAAGACTACAGGATACAAGATTGTGGTCTACCTCTAGAACCTGAGAGCAGGTCCAGTCATAGCCTACAAGGACTGGGTAACCAGAGGACCCAGATAAACTAGAGTTGAACACTTGACTCATGGAAATGCTGAGATAGCAAATGTACCTTTTTTTTAAGCCACTGAGTTTTTAGTAGTTTGATTTACAGCGCAAAAATATTTAACACTATATATATATATTTATTCATTTAGGATTAATTTTAGTGCATTTGCTTGTGTACCTTGAAGTGGCATTAATGTTCTACCAGTTTGGTTATGAAGGTTGAATTCAATATTTGACTACCATATATTAGGTTGAAATGTCAGGACATTCTGGAAATAATTTAAATGAAAGAGTCCAAAGATTCAGGGAGACGATAATGTAAAATGTTCAAGGTGTTTATCATCTCTTAACCATATTTCTGAATGATAGAGATGAATACCTCTTCTATTTGGGCATTAATAGATGTTGACTATCATTGGAAAGCTATATGTGGGCTGTCTTCTGTAGGCAGGAGATTATGCAGGGAAGGCTGACATGGAAATGGGCTCTCTTGCCTCAGTGGAATTAATGGGATTCAATTATAAGAGAGGTTTGGAGTGATATTAACTCTCAAACATAAAGTGAATTCACTACCATGGCAAACTAATGGACAATGAGTATACAGGGTGTTTTTATAGATGTGCAAACTGTTTAGAAATATATTGAAGGATAAACTCTTGAAATGTATTGTTGGAGGAAATATAGGCCTGATAAGCCAAGAAACAATCAGAATTGACATAGAAGGGACTTATAGTTTATTAATCTATTCCAAATGCAAGCCTGTTTACTTTCCCAGAGCCACTCAATTAAAGGAAAATCCTAGCCTCTTTTACAATACATCCACTGGTCTACACCCAGACTCTTTACTCAAGCCTTTCTCCAAAGTATTGCCACCATTTATAAGATGACCACATTGGATAAAATGTGATTTTATCTTTAATTGAAATTAATAGGTACTGGTCCTGTAGTGATACTAATCTCTGGTGACCAACATGTCACCACGGTGTATTAGTAGAAGACTATGAAGAAGATACGATAAAGATGTTCTGGGAATCTGGTAATCTAATGCTGTGTAACTCTAATACATGGTAGCTTAAAACAACAATGACTATTTATTTTGGTCTCAGAAATTCAATTTGGACCTGGACCAGCGAGCCAGCAAGATGTCTTGTCTCTCCTTCAGCCAGTGTCAACTTTGTCACCTGAAAGAGCTCAACTTGAGCTGGAATAGCCACTTTGAATATGGGTATGACACATGAATGGAAAGTTGGTGTTGGCTATCAGCCAGGAGCTTAGACTGAGCAGTTCCCCATGAGCCTGCATTCTTCTCCATATGAATCTATCCTCAGTATTAATTGGGCTTCGTCACAGAATGGTAGGTGTGTTCAATATAAGATTATTTAAGAAGATATCTTAGTTTGTTCCTGCTCTGATAACAAAATATCACAGACTAGATAATTGTTCCTGCTCCGATAACAAAATATCACAGACTGGATAATTTTAAAGAATAGAAATTTATTTTCTCCTAGTTCTGTAGGATGGGAAGTCCAAGATCAAGCTTCCAGCAGATTCAGTGTCTGATGAGGACTGTTCTCTGCTTCCAATATGCCACTTCTTGCTGTGTCCTCACATGGTGAAAGTGGGAAGAGCAAAAGGGCCAAAAAGACCTAGTCAGTTCCCTCCAATTCCTTGTATAAGGCACCCAATTCCATTCATGAGGACTCTGCCCTCAAGACTTAATCACCTCCTAAAGACCCATTTCTGAATGCTATCATATTGGAGTTAATTCAACCTATGAATTCTGGAGAGACACATATGTTCAAACCATAGCAGAAACAACAGAGACCACACCTTTCAATCTTGGTTGAAAACAGAGAGATTAGAGACTCATCCTTGATTGCTTTTCCAAATCTTAGAATTTATATAGAAATAGTAATGAACAATAATTGGCAGAATTCCTATCCTAGTCTCCTAAATGATTATTTTAAAATGATATGTTAAGTGGAAGAATATTAATTCTGCTCCTTCTACCTCAAGCAAGAAGGGTAAGCAGAAAAGAAATATAACATCCCAAGAAGAATTGTAGAAATCAGGGTGTCACAATCCAAGACTTTGTGCAAGAGCAATGATTTTTACCATATCCTCAATTTTATAGCTAATTACTTTGGACATTGCAAAAGAAAAATGAATCATAGGGAATATTGTGTAGTATTTATATTTAAATTACAAATACATCCTGGAAAGCCAAACATAGTTTATGTTCAGCAGCTGGATTCACAAATAAAAGACATTTTTCTAAACAAAATCTAAGGTTGATAAAGTAAGGGTTTACTTACTCTGGGTCAAACTCTCATATAAATATCAGACCAGATATTAACATAACTTAATTGATGATTTAATTCAGAAATATTTATTGTTTGCTTACAAAGTACTTGAGATACTGTGGAAAGCAGGAGAAATACTCTTTGCCCTCAAGGAGCTTTTATTTCAATTGGGAAAAAGTAAAGTTAATAAATATAAATTGCTAGACATCACATACTCTATGTGGCATCACAAAATTCTCTAAGTAGTTTAGATACTTTTAGGTTTTTAAAATGGAGTGGCAAAGAAAAACCAAAAGAAATGCTCCTCAAACAAGTTTAACAACACAAATAAGATATATGTAGGACATGAAACTGGTTCAGAAATAAAATTTTATGGCATATTATTATTCACCTTTGTTATAAAAATATGGGGACCTCAATCAGACAATTTCCTTGATAATATTGCCTTTGCTTTTATTTAAACACTAGTTATAATGGAGTGGGCCAGGAGTCCCCAGGTCTGTGTCTCAGGAGGTATAGAGAGCAGGAGACTAGATGAAAAAAAATAAGATATTGATTAAACACATATCTTAGCAATATGGTCGCCAACTCCACTGTTTCAAGACAAAGAGAATGAAAGCTGTCTGAGCATGTGGTTATAATATAAAGTTACAGAATAGCACTATTCTGTTCAGTAGGATTCTTCTGAACAGAGGTCATAAGATTGGTCTTTATTCCTTCAGTTCTACGACTATCAGAATATTTCAAATTCAGATTTTCAAAGACTGATTGTCTTTGAAAATATAAGCAATACTACCACCACCACAACCTAAAGAAAGCCTTTTAGGGAGTTTATACAGTATGAATATTCCACTTTTAAAAATAATGCCATAGTAGCACTAACCATTCTTAATGCTTTAGTTTTTATCAGCATGTGACTGAAACTTAAAAGAAAACATAAATATTAATATGCTTTTTAATATTCTTACCTGGGTTCTCCTTTTATTTAAACATTTAATGATATATATGAGGTTTTTAAAATGGGATAATTTTGAAATCATATTTGGTATATGAAAGCAAAATATATAGTAACAAATATTCTAATTAGCAGATCAATGGATTGTTTTTTCTTATATATTTAAATTAACACAATTTATTTTCAAAATCTGCCTTTAACATTCATGATAATCATTTAAATACCTACGATTTTATTGGATGCACAACCATACAAATTTTACAGTTTTTATACACACAGGATAAATAGAAATATACTCATATTTATCACTGATTGCATACAAATCTTCGAATACATCTTGCACTCTCCTTGTCTTTGAAAACAAAGAAATGGGTGAATTACAATTATTATAGTAACTACTTTCCTGATATTTAAGTGCTGAATTCTGAATCAATGACAAGACCCAAAATGGTTAGTTTACATAATGTGCAGAAGTATGAAATGAAAAATCTGCAGCATAATTACTGGCAGTTGAATAATAAATAATTTGTGCATGTTCAAACAAGTCCACTAATGTGACACATAAATTCATGAACATTTATGAGCAATTAATTTTCTGAAAGTTAGTGGAACTGGATACCTTTTATTATCTTCCTTAAAGTAAAGCTATTTATATGCTCTGACCAAGTTAAATACACTTGTGTTTATAGCCTTGATTTTCCTAACAAATATGATTTTTATCATTTCTAATAAACACTTTAAATTCTATCACAGGTTAGACTTTATAAATTTTCAATCACATGTGAATATCTAAGAGTTTCTAAAGAGTTTTTAGCTCCATTCTTTTAGCAAACGTGTCAAAACCTTTATATGAAAAGTGGGGTTTTTTTGAAAACTAATGACTAATCTCACTTCAAAAGCAATCTGAGTTTTAATACCAAATCTTCAAATATGTAGAAAAAATATTTTAAAGTTTTTTTTCTTACTTACATAGTTTTAGCAAAGTTACTTCTACTATAGTATGAAAGACGTGGGACATACCACAAGATTTTCTGTTTTGTTTTGTTTTTGAGAGGGAGTCTCAGTTTGTCACCCAGGCTGGAGTGCAGTGGTGCGATCTCAGCTCACTGCAACCTCCACCTCCCCAGTTCAAGCAATTCTTCTGTTTCAGCCTCCAAGTAGCTGGGACTACAAATGCACACCACCAGGCCTGGCTAATTTTTGTATTTTTACTATAGACGGGTTTCACCATATTGGTCTAAATGTCAAGTTTGAAATCAGAAAAGGTCTCACTTGAAAAAAAAAATCAGTATACCATTAAGAGCATCACTATTTTGGCAAATCTGATTAAATACTTATTTCAGAATGAATGGATTTGTCTCCTGTTTTGTTCTGGAAACGCAAGCACACACACACACACACACACACACATGCACACACACGTGCTTATACACAGGTAAAATACAGATAATTTTTATGAGTTCAAACTTAGTGATGGAATGAAAAGAAGGGGATAGTAGGGAAAAGAGGTGACATCTATAACATGGAATAACTATATAATGCATATCAAGGTCCCCTATGATTTTAAATATTAAAATTTGACATTTAATAATTTAACTTTGGAAATGAGAAGAGAGACACTTTGGAGCAGGAATTAACATAGACAATTCCTGAAAAAAAATATTTCATTTATAATCCTTGTTTGCAGGCTACCTAGGTGGCTGGATGGGTAAAGAGTATGAAAGGACACAACAAGAAGGACAAGCAATACTGTGAATCAGGAAAACACAAAGACATAAATTTGATTGGTTTAAGAGGCAGATAAGACACCCTGACTAGAAGAGAATTTTTTTCTTCACAAATTATAGAAGAAAATGGGATTACATCAATCAGGGAGGAGAATTTGTTAAGAACTCTTGATGTCAAAAATAATAACCATAAGAACAATAAAGTTGGCCCTGTTCTGTATTGATGCCATATGGAGCAAAGATTTTTGAACCAATACTCAATATGTATATAATGAATAAGAGAAATAACATTTGATGATCTGGGAAAAATGATTGAGGTATTGAGGTAATCAGGGTATAAAGAAAATTTATAGTATTGTTATGGCATTGGTCACAAAAGGAGAAGATCATGTAAGATCTAATTCAGATAAAGAAACATAGACAAACAGTAAAAGAAAATCAAAATAAATGAAAGTTTAGTACAAATAAAATGGGATCCAAGAAGAAAAGCATTTTGTGGCAGATATATAAAAGCAAGTAAAAATGCAATGTGTTTATTTACAAACATAAATTTTCTTCAACAATTGTGTAAGACTAGATTTTCTAGCACTACTTGTACTCGTCTAATATTTCAGACTATTTCTTTTTCAATATAGGAGGAAACACAGATGAAAAATAGTACATTAGGAAATCTCAAGTCCAATGTTCTCAATATTAATATCAAAGCAAGTTTTATTGGAAAGAAGAGTAACATTGTTATAACTGTGTGTGTATATATGAACATATATACACATACACAAGATATTAGGAATCTCTCAAAGTAATGTTCATAGTGGAATAGCCCTCACAAAATAAAAGCATTTTAAGATTAGATTGGTCTTACCTATACTGAGGAGTAGAAAAAAATATATACTAAAACGATTAAAAGTCTACTTCAGTGCTTAAAAATAGGAACTCAAACACAATAGAGAATTCTCTGCAGCTTGTCAATTTAGCCTCCATAAAAGAACATGGTCTCTTGGAGGGCATGATGACTTTCTCAGTTATAAAAAACATGTACTGAGGTAATAGACTGGGTAGATTTTTCCATCCCATCTAGCTTATATCCTAAAAACTTCCAACACATGCTGAATAACAATGTCATCAATCTTGCCGCTAAGGGCTACTGAATACTGCTGTATATCATATCAACAGAAAGACAGCAGAACAGGTGGCTGTCAAACTAGCAGTATTTAGTGAACAACAGGAACATAAATTTCCAATAGGAAATTTTAGACAGAAAAGTTGGTAAAGTTAATTAAAGTCATATATATTTGCATTTAATATATGTATAAATATGTAATAAATGTTTCAACACACATAAACATGTGTCATATGGTTATAAGTTTATTCTATCTTATATAACACTAAATAATGTAAACTTAGCTGCAAGATTTTTATCGAGACTATGAATATAATTCTAAATTGTATATGAATATTCACACTGGAAAGATTTTTCATATCTCTTTCATAATAGTTTGATCTTAAAATCATCATGTAAATGTCATATAAATCATAGACATGTCTTACAATCATCAGTTATTTTGTAAATATTTTACTACACCCTCTGGGGAATACAAATTAGAAGTCATTAACATTTATTAGCTACAGTACTGTGATTACATACTATAAATGACAGAATGCTCTACATAGATAACTTATAATAGTTGAAGAATGTAAAATTAATCAAGTGGTTTTAAAATATCTTCTTTCCCAAAAGACAATGTTTTTTTAAAATTGCCACCGGTTGAAGAAAACACTCTGCTTTTACAGACTCAAAATTATAACGTTAGGAGCACCTATATGAACTATTTTTCTTAGAGCCAATTTTCTATATAATGTAACATAATCACTTCAGCGATAGCTCATCATATTCATAGGTTCCACCCACTCTCAAAAGTGAGGTGACTTTACAAGGTCCAGATTCATTGTGGGATTATTTTAGAATCATTCACATCTCAATCACCTTTAGTTACATGTTTCAACACTGTAAGATGTATGTAACTAGGTGTGTTTCCACTGAATGAGAATTTACCTCCACAGGTAATTTATAATGCAGATAATTTATGCATTGATAAATAGGCTTTGTGTGAAATAAGTGTGTTCTCTCCCTGTATCTAAACTTTTACAATGAAGTCTCATGTTGCATGAGACAAGGCCATTTGAGTCATGACATTTTAAGCATTTTTCTAACTCAATCATTGGTATACGTTTGATGATTTACCTTTACTATATTAACCCATGTATTATTGCTGTGGTATGGGAGTTATAGAGACTTCCCCTGAACATCCGTCCTTTTATTCTTCAAGATTTATATAATACACTTATGTTGTTTTTAATAATAAAAACTAAAATATTAGATTACAGTTTATAGAAACTTTTTTAGTAAGTCACTTTTCTGTAATTGTGTGGCCCTCCCATATACACTCCCTGATAGCAAGCTCATATGGTAGCGTTTTCTTTGCCTTGGCCGCTACTAAGAACTCAACAATTTAGCATCTGTTGCTGTAACTTGTTTTTATAAACATGGAAGATAATTGACATTTTTGCCAAAATTAATTTAAAAAATTTTAGAGGAGTCTATAATAGCCTGTAAAGATAAAACAAAGAAACATGATTATTTGGTGAGTTATGAGAATTTGCTGTCTCTTTTTATCAAGATATATTTATTACAATAATCATTTTGAAAAACGTATTTTTAAATATTTTTACATTCGTGAAAAGCCTATCAGAAAAAAACTGTCATATTTAAAGAAAACTTAACTAATATTTGTTTGTCTAATTATTAAGGATTGTAGTTTGACATTTTTGAAGTAAATTATTTTCTAAAAACTACCAGACATCCTCTATTTATAATTGATTTATAATTACTGACCCTCTGTTCATTTCCTCACTCTAAACACATCCTATAAATAATTTAAAATATATCCCTTAAACGTTTTACACATGATAATTCTAATTTTTTGTATGATGTAAAGCCAGGAAATAGTACCTTACACTTTTCTCCAACACTCCACCTTAGTGAAAAGTGAAATGAACATGGCAGAATGCCAGAACTGTCAGAACACTGAAGAGAGCAGACAAATGATATCAAATAATAGTGAATAGTAAATTAAGAAGAAAGAAAGGTTATCATTTTGCAATAAAGATGGTCTATGAATTTGAAAGCTTATTTTCAATAAAATATTACAATAACCAGCCATTCATAACCTGAAAGAAATACAAGATATTGCAAAACAATTTATATTCAAAAGCAAAAGTTTTAACAAGACTTGCACTTACAAAATATGCTTTGTCTATTTTAGTCAGGCATCTATAAATATCAGAGCTTCTATACCTGTCACAATGAAATTTATAAATATATTTTTATTTTTATTCACTTGCACACACAAAAACACACACGCATGTATGCTAATAGTGTTCCATTTAAGATTCTTATTGTCCCCACTGTAAAATATGTCATTGCTCGAAAATTATAATGTATTTTACTAAACTACTCAATTCATACTTACTGATATTAAAATAAAAGATACCCTAATTAATAGTATATATAAAACTTAATTATTTTTTATTTACAAACTAAAATTGTATATATTTATGGTATACAACACGATGTTTTGTTATATGTATACAATGTGAATAGCTAAATCAAGAAAATTAACACGTATATTTTCTCACATACTTATCATTTCTTGTGGTGAGAACCCTGAAAATCTACTCTCATAGCCATTTTCTAGTATACAAGATATTGCTGTTAACTATAGTCACTATGATGTACAATACACCTTTTGAACTTATCTCTTCTATCTAAATAAAATTTTGTATTTTTTGACCAATCTTTCTACTCCCCAGACTCTGGTAACTACTATTCTACACTCTGCTTCTGAGTTGAACGTTTTTAGGTTCTATTCATAGGTGACATGATGCTGTATTTGTGTTTGTGTGCCTTACTTGTGTTACCTCACATAGTGTTCTCTAAGTTGTCATAAAGAGAGGATTTTTTTCCTAAGGCTGAATAGTATTTCATCATGTGTATACAGCACATTTTCTTTATCCATTTATCTGTTGATGGACACTGAGGTTGATTCCACATCTTGGCTATTGTGAATAGTGCTGCAATAAATATGAGAGTGCAGATATCTCTTCAACGTATTGGTTTTATTTCCTTTGTAAATTTTTTGAAGAAACTTCATGTTGGTTTCGATAATGGCTGTAACTATTTACATTCCCATGAATAGTATGTAAGAGTTTCTTTTTCTTCATATCCTCACCAATACTTGTTATCTTTTGTCTTTTTAGTAATAACCATTCTAAAATAAATCAAAGATTTAAACCCAAGACCTGAAATTGTAAAATTACTAGCAGAAAACACAAGGGAAAACTCCATGGCATTGGTCTAGGCAATGATTTTTTGAACAGGAACACAAAGGCACAGGCAGCAAAAGCAAAAATAGACAAATGAGAAGAAATTAAAGGAAAATGTTTCTGCACAGCCAAGGAAAATATGTTTCTGCACAGCCAAGGAAACACTCAGCAAAGTGAAAAGACAGCCTGCAGAATGGGAGAAACATCCATCTGATATTTGAAGACTATATGTCTGAAAAAGAGTTAATATCCACAAATATAAGAACTTAAACAACTCAATAGCAAGAAAACAACCTGATTGAAAAATGGGCAAAGGATCTGAATAGAAGTTTTTCAACAGAAGACACAAAAAAGGCCAGCAGGTATATGTGAAAAATGCTCAACATCACTAATCATTAGGGGAATGCAAATTAAAACCATAAAGACATATTACCTCACACCTGTTAGAATGACTATTAAATTTATTTTAAATGAGCTACAGTAAGAACAACTGCAAGAACAGTGTATTTTATATTGTTTTTCTTGTTTTATTTTGACAAATACATCATATTTGCAAATACAAATCAACTTTTAGAATGCAATGTGTCTTGGGCATAAACCATCTTGCTTTTCAAGGAATGTTTGACTAGACATGATAAAAATTATTGTCTATTGTGCCCGGGCATGGTAGCTTATGCCTGTGATCCCAGCACTTTGGGAGGCCGACGTGGGTGGATCACCTGAGATCAGGAGTTTGAGACCAGCCTGGCCAACATGGTGAAACCCTGTCTCTACTAAAAATATAAAATTAGCGGGGCATGATGGCAGTACCTGTAATCCCAGCTACTCAGGAGACTGAGGCAGGAGAATCGATTGAACTCGGGAAGCAGAGGTTGCAGTGAGCCAAGATCACGCCACTGCACTCCAGCCTGGGCAACAAGAGCAAAACTCTGTCTCCAAAAAAAAAAAAAAAAATACTGTCTATTGTTGCTTTTTTAAAATCCCAATTCATAAAAGTGGGAAGAGAGTCCTTTAAATCTGGTTAAAATTAAAACAACATCTACAGTAGTGTGTCTGTGGGCAGGTGGGTAGTTGAAGTGTGTGTGTGTGTGTGTGTGTGTTTTATTTCCTAATTAGGTAAATGATTTAAAATTTTTAATAACAGAAAGGAATTTTAACTAATAAAGAATGAACAAAGGAAAGCTACTGACCTTTTGCAGGAAACTGTTACAAAGAAAAAAACACATCTTTTTTTTAATCAGAGAGCCTATTAACTCTTTAATATTCTCAGAATTTTTTTTTTGACTTGCTTCTTTTCATTCCTGGTAGGAAAACTGGCTATTTAAGTGTTTAAACTGTGATCATTATTAATGGTGAGTTTCACAAGTTCATCATCACCATGTAAATTTGCTTAACTAGTGCTGAGACTTATTTGCCTTGGATTTGTGGAGAACAGTGCCCACACTTTATTATATGAAGTAATTACACAGCAAAATACAGAATTGCTGCTTCCATGGAGTTTAGATAATAAAACAGATAATACATCATAACTTTCATGTTCCTAGTCAATAACAAAAATCACTTTTCAGTTAAAATTTAGCCTAGAAGTTGGATTCTCATATACTAGGACTGCTCATAGTCTTTATTCAGGATGTGGAAAATCCAGAAACAAAAGGGAGACATTGTTATACAGCCAAGCTGTTCCTAACAAAATAGATTCTAAAATTCAAATAGTAAAAGCTTAAATCATGTATTGTCAGAAGAGAGAAATACTTTTTGGTTATTGTTCTACTTTCAGAAATTGTAATATATTTTTAATGTAAGAAAAATAGGTGTTTTGTCTCAAGGAAACAAAAATCAGAACAGGATGTTACAAATGAAAATAGCATGGAATACCTTGGAGAAAAGCAGCCAAGCGTGGGCAATGAAAAGACACATACAGGCTGTGCTAGTGCAGAACCAATCTAACAGTTCCCTGTTAGCAAGGTATTGGAAATCAATATCAGAGGTGCATTATATATTATTTACAGTCATTTTGTATAACTATGCTTAGCTACTTGATGAAATGTGTATATAGGTTTACCTTCAATTTTGACCCTTGCTTGTCGTATGCCACAGAACCCTATGTTTAAGTGCCAAATTAACATCTGTGCTTAAAGGCCCAATATGTCTCTCACACAGAACAGTTTCAAACAAAACTTGTAATTTTCCTGGTTATAAAGACCTATTTTCACTGCACCTAAAACCAAGGTAGTAATGCCATGCTACGTGTATATAATGGCAAACTCCTGACCAATATCTTTTCTTCTTTAACTTATGTTTGACCCTGGTGCCCACCAACTTGCTAAAGTTATTCTTGAATCCATCATTATCTGAAGTGATTTTATCTCTTTACATAATGATTATATCACATATATTCCCTTGTGATTCCTGTGTTCTATCACATATCCTGCTTATTTCACTGCAGCCTTTTTTCTTGCAATGTATTTTGATTGCTTGAAGAGTTTTCTTTCATAATGATAACAGAAGTTATTGCAATAACATTTCTGACGTTGAAAAAAAGAAGAAAAGAAAATCACACTGATGTATGACAAAATGCAGGTTTCACTGTGGCTTTACCTGCCCTGAAGAATATGGTTAAAGAAACAGAGGATAAGAATATGCAACTGATTAAGCATCGGTACAGTCCTTTGTTCATTGACAATCACAACGAAGACTGGCCAACACATATAAGAATGGTAAATGCGAAATAGCAAAAGAATTCAAGAGATTTGAAGAGAATTGAAGAGAAAGGAGGACCATATCTTTATCAGTCTGATAGGTGAATAAATCACATTAATTATTTGAAAGGAAAAAAATATTGTATAATACAAATGCATTGTTAAGGAAATTGTGACAGTAAGATTAAAAAGTAAACACTAAGGTATCATGGCGGTCACACTGCTGGCAGAAGTTTCCATCTCTAGGATTGAGGACAAAAACAGAAGAAGCTGAAATTATTAAAGAAAAGGCCTGTGGAGGTTGGCTTTAACTTCTCAGGAAGAGGCACTGTTTATCTGGAGCTGTTGTACAGATCAGGAAGTAGGGGCCCTGTGGGACTGAGATGCCATCTCAGAAAGAGAACACTGAATCTGGTTCTGCAAGTGGTAGAAAAATTGACAACTGTAGTCTCTTGCCGCTATGGGAAGGGCATGCTTCTTCTGGAGTGACGTGGCAGGTGTGGCACTCAGAGAAACGGCAAGCAGAAATAGAGCCAATAGGAGGTTAACAGGAGGGGGCAGGTATTTTTCTTATAACTCCACCTTTGCGGTTTTCCTTTAGCACTCCCTACTGGCAAAGCCTAACAGAGAAGCTGGCAAAGGAGAAAAGTCGATTTCAGAGGAGCAAGCCCAGCATCATAAAACAGGGTATAGAAGGGCGGACTTGAAGCAGGAAAACATTAAATTATAACTGGTACAGCATCTGTAAAGGGACCCTGCATAATTCTAGTTCACTTCAAGCTTCCATTTTTGCCTCTCATATCTGTTTCATACTAAATGTGTATGTAACCACACAAATGATTTCCTGGTTGTTTTTTATGACCTGTATAGTTCATGCCACATGAACTCATTAACTCTTTGAAGAAGAGAAAAAGTTAAAAATAAATAACGTGACTTATAGCACTGGACAAATAGAATAGAAAGGTAAAAACTGGAGATAATATATTGCTAAAGACTTCTTCACAGTTATGTTTCCTAATAAGGTAAGATAGCACATTAAGGTGTTTTTCAGGGCCCTTTTTTTGCCATTTGATGCAATTGGATGCAATTTGAATGCAATTAGGACTATGTTTATTTAAACATTTGGACAAAGTTTATTGACTTAATTTTGTGCTTTATGCAATTTTCTGATTTTCTACACCAAACAACTACGTATTACTTTTATAAATAGAAAAAAAAAAGCACAAGAAAGAATAAAAGCTGTAAGATCGATAACAGAGGAAAATAATTAAAAAGGATATAAAAACAGTTGTTATTTATAATATTTTGAGGCCATATAAATAAAAAAACTCAACATAAAAAAGTGCAAAAAACATTAAGCAAGTTACAGAACACAAATGGTTAATCGAGGCTGGGCACGGTGGCTCACGCCTGTAATCCCAACACTTTGGGAGGTCGAGGCGGGCAGATCACAAGGTCAGGAGATCAAGACCATCCTGGCTAACCCGGTGAAACCCAGTCTCTACTAAAAAAAAATACAAAAAATTAGCCAGGCATGGCGATGTGCGCCTGTAGTCCCAGCTGCTGGGGAGGCTGAGGCAGGAGAATGGCATGAACCCGGGAGGCAGAGCTTGCAGTGAGCCGAGATTAGGCCACTGCACTCCAGCCTGGGCGACAGAGCAAGGCTCCGTCTCAAAAACAAACAAACAAACAAACAAACAAACAACAAAAACAACAAATGGCTAATCGAAAAACTGATTCAATCTCATGAGTAATCAAGGAAGTAAAAACACAATAAAAGGATGTACTAGTGCTCACCCTTCCATTCATTTTTTTCTTGAGCCTACACATTTTATAACAAGTCCTGGGTGTTCTACTAATAATGATAGCAGCAGGAGAAGGACAAATTACTGGGCAGACAGGGTCGGGTCCCTGGTGCAACCCAACCTTCAATCCGAAGACAGCTTAAAGCCTGAAAACTGAGATTCCAGTTCCAGGTAGAGTCCACAATGGGAGTGAGAACTTCCTCGATGCCTTTTAGCCAATCAAATGGTGCTTTTCCCAGGCCTGCCCATGGACCAATCAGCATGCAGTCCCCCATTCTGAGCCCATATAAACCTGGATTCAGTCACATGTTGGGCTACCAACTTCAGGTCCCCTCTCATCGTTGAGAGCTTTTCTGTCACTCAGTAAAAATCCTCCTTGTCTTTCTCACTCTCCAGTGTCTATGTAACCTCATTCTTCTTGGTCATGGGACAAGAAACTGGAACTTGCCAAATGACAGATGCAAAATAGCTATAACACTGTAATCCTCTCTCCCACTCACTGAGCAACAGGAGAGAAAAAGCTGCCTGGAGCCACACATCTCCATTCACAAGACTACAGTAGTGAAGAGCTGTGACCCTTCTTTGGGCCCAGACCTCAGGACTTCCACAGCCAGAGCTGTAACACACCCCTGTTTGCCAAGTCTTCTGTTTTGTTTTGTTTTCTCTCATGTAATTTACATCCTGATTTATATCACTTCCTCTCAGACTGTTCAGTTTTAGTAGTTCACCTAGGGAAGACCCCATGCTCTGAACTGTTCTAGGCTATTTCACTTGATATTTATCCCCACCCCACCCCCATTCTCAAATTTCCACCAGCTGATTTCAGTATACACTACCTATATTTGTTCCATTTCCTGAGGACTGGGTAGTAGGTTCAAATTAATGAAACATAAACTAGCTGTAACATGAGCTGTAACATGCCCCCCACCCCCACATTTACCATGATGAGGGTGGTGGGAACAAGAGAGAGCTGAGACATTTTTTGGGGACTCAAGCCTTGGGTCATTCCAGGCAAGAGCCACAACATCCCTTGGGGCTCCACAGTTACTGTCATCTGTTTTTGAACACCATCACTTTCCCCATATCTAAACGCCAGCACCAAAACTGAAAACTGCCCACAGCACTCCTGGCTCAGCCAGGGGCTGAGTGTGGATTCCCCGTGCACGCGCAGGATCTGGGCTGGTAGACTGAGCCAACCACAGCCCCACTGGGCTGAGTAGGTGGAGCAAGTCCAGTGGTGAGCCCAGAGCTGAGCAAAGCCCTAGCAGGGGTGCCACAGCCACAATTTCCAGCTAGCAAAGCAGCACCGAAAGGATCCTGTGTAAATAATATATGTGCATATGTATGTATATGTGTGCATATATATGCATACTGTATCTACACATATGTATCTCTTCATGCTTATATCCTACACATACATACCTATTATCATGTAATACAGAAAATACATGTATTATAAATATATACAGGGGAACTTTTAAACAAAACTATTTCTTTTAAAGTTTCCTTTTCCCTGACATTTTAACCCTTTCTATTTGACTTTCTCGGTAGTTCTGAACTCAAGTTTTAACTGCCAAACCTAGTGAGTCACCTTTATAAAAAATATTTTGTCTTTTTTGTTTATTTGTTTGTTTGCTTGAGATGGAGTCTTGCTTGGTCGCCCAGGCTGGAGTGCAGTGGCACGTGTCTTTTATATTTTTGTTACTGGTTAAATGTAGAACTTTCTCATTCAATTTAAGGTCATGACTAGCATATATTTTATTACATATTGAATTCAATTATCCTTAGTCACAACTCTTAAATGTTTTTAATGATTTTATTAAGGATATTAATTATTGTAATATGTAACCATAAATTAATATTTTGGCCTATTTTCCTGATTTCTTATAGTAAAATTGTAATTTATAAGTTAACCTAAACTTCTCATACAAAATTCTGATGTTTTCCATAATAGCATCATTATAATGCAGTTTATAGCTGCATAGTTTTTAGACCCTAAATATCTGGGATGGAATTCTAGGTTTTTCATTCATTTGCTGTGCAATATTGGGAAAATATTTTAATCTCCTGGTGACTCAGTTTTCTCACTTATGAAATAATGATGCTATTATAATTAATAGTAGTATACTTCCACCACAAATTTGTCATAAATATTAAATAAGTAATGTTAAGTGTACTATATAGCATTGCTTGACATATAGCATTGCTTGACATAAAGCAATCAATTGGAATTTGTATGCCAATTGGTAAAAATAATTATATATATATATATATATATATATATATATATATGGTTACAAATCACTGTCTTCTTAAGTTTACTAAACAGAAATTCTCAGATAATTAATGGTCTACCAGTAATTACATTTTTTTCCTACCACTCAGATCTTTAGTCTGAACTTTGATTTTTCCTTCCTAAAGCTGCTTCTTTGAAGGCCACCTGCAACCCTCTTCATCCAGATGTGATAAACTGCCATCTACACTAATCTACTTGCACATAAGATTGATGATTTTTGTTCTGCAGTTTTTACTTTGCATTCAGCTTCTCCCCTACACTTCCATGATATATGTTGAGATAAGGGCCTATCTCCATACTATTTCCCTTTTGACGGTAAATTGACAAGTAGAGAAGGGCAAAGTGGATCACCAGGTACAAAACCTTCTCTTCTGAGATTAACTCATTGACAGAAAATGCTTTTGTCACTGTCCCTGGAACAAATGTTTTCTTTTTCGGAGACCTCAAATCTGAATGTATTATCTTGAAATAAGTTTATCATAGATCTGAAGTATCATTTGCTTTATCTAACTTATAAACCACTTTTGCATTTTCTTAATTGTTCTGTCCTTAGGCAGTGTGAGGAAAGTGGCTTCTGGCAGGATCTTTGAGATAAGAACAGTGTAAGTTTTTTTTTGACAGTCTGGTTAGAATTGTTTTCAATATGATTTCAAGTCTTATTTTACTTTCCAATTAAAGTATCTTATTCTAATATTTTACTATGTAGTCTATGACTGACATTGTTGACTTATTTAATGTCTTTCATTCTTTGGGTCACACTAGTCTTCTATAAAATTATACCTTCAATCTAAATATAATTCACTCCAAGGATTATATTATATTATATTATTATATTATATATTACATTATAGAATTACAAAATTATTTTAAAAGTTAGTGAGTCTTCTCTACATTGAACAACGTCTAAACATATGGTAGATTCAATATTCAAATGTAGTAGTCTACATTTAAAATATGGTCCAATAGAGCAAAACATCACAGGGCTGGTCAAGCTTACCTATTTATGCCATTACCCAGTCTTCCGTTTTGTTTTGTTTTCTCTCATGTAATTTACATCCTGATTTGTATCATTTCCTCTCACACTGTTCAGTTTTAGTAGTTCACCTAGGGGAGACCCCATGCTCTGAACTGTTCTAGGCTATTTCACTTGATATTTATCCCCACCCCACCCCCATTCTCAAATTTCCACCAGCTGATTTCAGTATACACTACCTATATTTGTTCCATTTCCTGAGGACTGGGTAGTAGGTTCAAATTAATGAAATAATCCACACAGCTGGGTTGATTAACAATTCCTAACACTTTTTGCCATTCTTGGTGTGGCTCCATGTGGGCCCCATGGAGGTGCCCAGGTGCGGGTGACTGTGACCCGCGAAGCCCAAGAGAGCATGTTACAATTGCTCTTTTAGCTCTGCAGTCCATGGACCGCAGTGTATTATCAACGCAGGGGGCCCATTGTCTCATGGTGTGGGACGGCTGCCCTCCATCAGTGAGAGCAAAGGGCCTGTGTGACAGCCTTTTTGGGTAAACACACTTGGTGGGTCCCAGGCTCTTGTCTGGCATCCAAGAAGAATAACGTTGCATGGACACTTGAAGGATGGTGGAGGTGGGGAATTTTATTTAGTGATGGAAATGGCTCTCAGCTGAGAGGGGAGCTGGAGAGTAGGCGGCACAGGCAGGTCATTTTCCCTGAAGTCTGGCCGTCCCTGGCTGGCTCTTCTTGAAAGTTAAGCCATCTCCCCTCTAAAGCCTAGTCATCCCTCTGAAATCCAGTCATCCCTCTGAAATCCAGTCATCTCTCTCCAGTCAAGCTGCTTCTCTCTAACAACTGAGTCTGGGGTATTTATAGGCACAGGATAGGGGCAGGTGGACTGTAGGTAATTTGGGAAAAGGCAACATTCAATTGGTAAAAAGACATTATTCAGGAAGAAACAATCAGGAGAGAGCAGGCAAACAGGGATTGAGTTTTACTTCAGGCTGCAGGTTTCAGGCTTTTCAGCTCAAAGGTGGGGTTTTGCTGGGGACCAGGCCCTGTCTGCCTAGAATTTCTCTGCCTCTTGCTTCTATCACTCCCAGAACACTACAATATGAATTTACATATGGGACATAAAATATAGTTTGTCACACAATCTGAGAACACACTTTGTGAAATTTATAACATCTTATCTCAGCATACACCACTTATATACTATATATTTTTTGTTTTGGGAAATTTCCTTCTTTTAATTTACATGGGGGATGAAAGCAGACAATGGGAAACTTCATTAGTAGTTACTCATAGAGAATGAGTTCTCATAAATTCCCTGCCTTAGAGAAAAGGAAACATAAGATTACCAATGGGGGAAACAGGGAGTTAAGTAACAATATCACCTTTATAGAATTCCTTTCCTGCTACTCCCTAACCTTTTTCATTTGCTTGTTCTCTATAATTTTTTTCCTATTCTTCGAACCTTAAGTTAGAATTAACTCATTTTATTTAAGTGATTTTCATTGCTTGGTTAAGGAGTGATATTTAACATTACCTTTTATTGTTTTGAAGGTAATAATTTTTCGTCTGCTGTTTCAGGTATCTTGTTTTTAAATTTGAATTTTAAGTTTTACTTTCACTATATATGCTTAAATATAAAATTCTGTTTTTGTTTAGGGGTTATAAGGGTTTCTTGAATCTGTTGCTTATTGTCTATTTCTAACTTTGGATATTTATCAACCATTATCTATTCAAATATTGCTTTTTACCTCCACTCCTCTTTTCTCTACTTTAGATACCAAAGATATACTAACTAAGCTACCAGGAATTCTGCCTTGGAATGGATTTTTTAATGCAGGAAGTTAACAGATCCGGGGCTGTGGACTGGCAATCTCAGTTCTTGTGACAGTGAGCAAAGAGTTGCAGAATAACACCAAACTGTAAGCTCAAAGCAAAGTTTGAAGCACAGTAATACACTCTCAGAGGGAGAGCAGACTGATTTCTGTGAAGTGAAATCAGCACCCCTTTACAGAGCTGAAAGGGCTTGTACGCAGTTTGTGGGGGAAGTCGAAGTTTAAGCTCTGAGTGACAGGATGATGTTAGTTGATTGCCAGTTTATGGTTATATAACTAAAGCTAAAATGCACATGTTTAAAACCATAATTCATTAAGAAAAGCCCTCTTTGGGGCAAAACCACATGTAAATTTTATTATAATGAAGGTATAATGAGCTTAGGCTTAACTTAAAGATACAGTTTTAGGTTACTGGGCATGTTTCATTTTAGGGAATCTCCACCTGTGCCCTAGTTTCCTCTTTTACCAGCTGTGCTGGCCACAGACTTTACCAAAAACTCCATCCATAAGGGTGGAAATAGGAGGGTCTTAGGGCTGAACTTCAGCAGGCCAGGGACTGTCTTAGTGACAGCCTTTCTGTTCTCCCTTCTCATCCCCTCCGTGCTGCTAATGCCTACCTAACTACCTAGCAACTGTAACTGTTTTTCCTACTTTCTTTTGTATTGTATATTCTGCTTTGTCTGATTCACTCTGAAGATTTTATTCTAATATACATTTCAAATCACTAATTCTCTCTTAACCTGTTCAATCTGTCATTAACCCATTATTCAGAATTGTAATTTATTCACTGTATCTTAACTTTGAAATATCCATTTGTTTACATTTATAGTTTTCAGTTTTAATGTGAAAATTTGAATATCATATTTCACCTCAAGTGTTGTAAGTTTATTAACATCTGTGCCTGGTAATGCCATTACGTGAATATCCCTTGGTCTTGGCTCTATTGTCTATTGCTACTTGTTTTGTAATTGTGTTATTTTATTCTCAGTCATGACTAATTAGTTTTGTTGAGTTCTGAATTTAAGTGTGATAAATTTCATATATTTAAGATAATGTCTGCTTCTGTTCTTTAATGTGTTATTTTTGCCCCACAAAGACTGCTGTTTAGATACTCAACTTCCAAAAAATCTCTTCTGCACAGTCAACAGCAAGGGTATAGGGGCTCTAAATACTAGCCTCACCTCTCTAATTTTTCTTCTGTTTTTAAAGTTGGTTTTATTATTCATTTTGTCTTCACTGCATTATGTTTAGATTTTTTTAATTTTAAATAATTAATTTTAGAAATAGATTTAATGTCAATTAGCTGGGCGTGGTGGCGGGCGCCTGTAGTCCCAGCTACTCGGGAGGCTGAGGCAGGAGAATGCCGTGAACCCGGGGGTCAGAGCTTGCAGTGAGTGGGGATCGTGCCCCTTCACTCCAGCCTGGGCGACAGAGTGAGACGCGGTCTCAAAAAAACAAAACAAAAAAAAGAAATAAATTTAATGTCAATGTTACCTTGATTTATAAAAAAGTATTTATGTAACTCAAGGCATTTTAGATTTCAGCATATATATTAAGACTTTAGAGTCCATAGAATTAAATGAACTACTTCTTTATTATGTTTCCATTTATATTTAAAACTTTGTGCATAATTGGAGCAGAGTCGTACTGGAGGGAGCAAAATCAGTATCAAAACAAATAAAAATGAGTATGTATTTGTGGTTTAGACTGCTTGAAAATGGAAAATTTAATAGTGATATTAACTTCTCATTCTTTTATGACATTTTGCTATTTTATTTGATTAGGGATGAAAACAAATTTGTGTATTTGTTAAGACCTATCAGAGATATACTGTGACCTTCATGAGGCTGCTAAAACGAAGATTAAAACTGTGTCTGCTGAAACAGTATTTTGTTTCTTGGGAAACTTACTGAAACCAAAAAGGATAAATATCTGATTTAAAATGTAAAAAATCTCTAAAATATAAAGGCCTATGCTAATTTAAAATTTATTTTTAATGTTAATTATAAACATCTAATTAATCAAATTATTTCTTCCAGATTTTATGAATTTAGAAGACACTAAAATGAAATTTAGATAATTTGAAGGGAAATATAATACAGGTAACATCAAGTAATTAAAATATAAAATAAATAAAATAGATTGAGGCTATTATTTGGAAAGTGGACAAATTAATTGCAATTCTCTGTTCCCTTTAATGAAATGTAAATGATTATTAAATTAATCTTTATACCCAAAGTTCTAAAGAATATTGTCTCTGCAGTATACTTAATATTAGTGGTTCTTATTGTAAGCTCTTGCCCATTCCAACATGATAGCAATGCCAATTTGTGAGCATAAATAAATTAGAGCCAATCATGAGATAAATAGTATAATGAATGTGACATAAAGACTGAGATGAAGCTTACTGATCATATCATTTAGCAACAGCTAATGAGGAGGCCATCATGTCAATTTGTCCCCCAAATTATATAATTCAACTGAAGGATCTTAAACAAATCAAAAGCTTTAATGATTATCTGAAGAAGAACACAGCCATGTCAGAATGCTTAGCTTATCTTAAGAACTGTGGTTTGAGAAAGAAAAGTGACCCTGGAGTTGTAAATGTTGGTGACAAAAGAATATCATGACAAGCTAGTTTGAGAGCTTAAAGGAAATCTGGAATAATGTGAATTCAATTTATCTTTTTGTTCCATAATCATGAATCTCTGTAGGTGATATTTTGGCATATATATAGTATTTATAAGATTATCCTTGTTAAAATCTTGGCTACACAATGTTATTGAGTAGTTCCTGTAAATATTCTGCCAAGCTTAGTAACTATGAGATATTCTTAAACATTTTCAGGAGAAGAATTATGTATTCTCTCCTCTCACTTGATACACCAAGATCAAAAGCATGTTTATTTATACGTGCCTTTAAAGTTATTAAAACTTAGAAAGTAAATCAAGTACATATTTAAAAAGTTTTTCATCTATATCACAGAAAAATACTGTGGTTTTATGTTGCTATTAATTGTTAATGATGGAGAAATTGGTATTGCAATATATACTCTGAATTAGCATAAGCACAGAAATAATCTTTATAAAAGGCCATGGGAGTAAGTTTAAATTTTCATTACATTTACACTGATTATATCCATGGAATTCATATTTTACACTTTTGAAAAATAAACAAGTAGCAGTAAACATTTAAGCTTTTAGACCTTAGAATATTCAGTGCACCTTTTGCATCTTTATTTTAGCAATAATGATCTGTAGTAGGTAAATAGATAGGCATGAGCGGGACAGGAGGGAGCTCTCCTCCAACCCACTAGAAATGTCGGGTTATGGTTCAGCAATTATCGTAAAAGTGATAATTTGGCAGCCATGGAGAGACAATCTCCTGATAGTCCACACCTGTTAGCATTAAAAGTGTTAACTGAATGCAGACCCCAGGGAGAGGCAGCTTCTTGGGCATGCGTGTTAACAGACAAAATGGCCAAGCATGACATTCCAGGGGCACACGCTACCGTAAAAGGGAAAAAAGCCTCAGATGGGCATGCGTATAACTCCCTAAATACACTGTCCTGCTCATTTTCCAAGGATAAGGAGAGCACCTGCATACAGAAAGCCCACCATAAGGGAAGAATCATGGGAAAGAGGAGAACCTATAAAGTCCTGGGATCAAAATTAAAGGCCCTTTTTTCTCTCTTTGGCCTTCAGGCACACACTTGGATCTCTTACAATCGTTTTTTCCTTTTTTTTCCTGTTCTATTTCCACTCCTGCTCTGAAACTTGCCTCGGTCTCTTTTTCTGCTTTATGCCCCTCTGTTGAATTCTTTCGTCTGAGGAAGCAAGGACGAAAGTTGCTATGGACCTGGTAGGGATACGCTGCCAGTACCTTGAATCTCTGTCACCGGTAGCAAGTCTACTACACAAACAGAATGGGTGAATTTATGTGTCCGTTTACCTAAAATAAATTTAAGATGCCCAGTTATACCTAACTGATGTTAAATTATATCTCGATTAAAATATTTTTATGGAATTAACATTCAGACCTATTTGTGTTGATGGAAATAATTTATTTTTGAAATTCTAAAATAAAAAGAAAATTAATATCTTCTTTTTGAACTATGATTTCAGGTATTTTTTAAACTAGTTTAACGATATATTTATTCTGGAGGTTAATTGCTTTCCAAATGTAATGTAGAGGGTTTTATAAAATGATGAATAAAAATTGCATATACTTATGATATACGACATAATGTTTTGAAACATGTACACATTGTGAAATGGCTACAACAAGCTAATTAACACATGCATCACCTCACATATTTATCTGTGGTATGAACACTTAAAATCTACTCTTAGCAATTTTCTGGTACATAGTACATTGTTATTAACGATTTCACCATGCTCCACAATAGATCTGATTGTTTTCTTTCTTGTCTAACTGAAATGTTATATCCTTTGGCCAACATTTCCACAATCTCCGCACCTAACGATAGTGCCACCAGCCCCTGGGAATCATCCTTCTGCTCTCTGCTTCAAGTTTGACTTTCTGAGATTCCACATAAAGGTTTGATCATGCAGTTTTTGTCTTTTTGTGCTTGGTTTATTTTACTTAACAGTGTCCACCAAGTTTGTCAATGTTGTCACAAATAACAGGATTTTCTACTTTTTCACACATGGGAGCTTTAAGCATAAGATTCTCTTCAAATGTATACTGTAAACACTGAGGTTTATAGCAATAAAATATTGAAAATTCTGTAGCTCTTTTATAGAGAATAAATGTTATGTTTGTATTTAGTCACATATTCTGCATTTTCATTTTGGTACTTTTCAACGTATTTTTAGAAGGAAAAAGAAAGGGCATATATACATTTTAAACTGCATTTTTCTATAAATGTATCTCCTCTAGAAATGTGGTTATGATACAAAACAAAATGACATGTAGAAGAAAACAATATTGATCACAGAATGAGCTTCAAAAAAATACTAATATTAAAATAGAAAACATAAAAAGAGGAACAAATGGTAATATGAATCTAAGAATATTAAAAGAGTCAAACTGGGCAAATCAAAAAAGATAAATCGGAATTGATCAGCATTTTATAATTAATAGATGCTATTTTCAAAAGAGTAGAAATAGTGGTTGAAAATATACTTAACTTTCATTGAACATTGCAACATGTTGCATGAATGCAAACTATCATTTTTCCTAAGAAAATAAAACATTAAAAGCAGTAATATATATTCATATATATTATACATGATGAACCTGCATTACATTATGTGGGCATTATATTTGGGTATATTTGTGTGTATGTGTGTATCTGGGGGTGTCTGTTTATGAATGAATATGTGGAGAGAGTGACAATTAGTAGCTATTATCTCAATATACTGAACTAGGTAGAAGAGAAAGCTAATGTTTAAAACCCACTTCATAAAAGTACTTTACCCTATTTACATAAGTTCTTCTGCAAATTTCACTGGTAAGTTCTTCCCTGAAACATTACTGAAAAGGGCCACTATAGAATTCTAAGTAAAGTTCAGTTTTTTTTTAATTTCCTGATTCAAAATCCATTAATTTCCTTTTTACTCTGTGGGTTCTGCTGACCTTTATAATAATGTGAAAAGTATACCAATAATGAAGAGTAAAGTTAAAAATGAGGTTCTAGCCTAGAAAGAAATTCAACCATAATTTTTCTCAAGTAAAACCAATGCCTAGGATTTAGATGCCAATTAAAGGCTTTTAAGTGATAGTGTAACTCATCTCAATGAAAATACATTTGCATTGAGTGTTTTCTTAATCACTTTGACATTAATTAAATTCAAATAAATCTTTAAACAAAAATTTATGTGTCTTTTATTTACTTGTTTTTATTTACTTATGCAATTCACATTAACATAATATTTTAAAATATTTTAAAAAATATTTTTGGCAACCATATATAAGTGAGGAAACTAAGAACCAAAAAAATCTAATGTATGTCCTAATGATTTCACAATGATATGACAATCAATCCTTAAATCACTATCTTAAATCACTCAATCACTTTTCCCAAGGATGATGATTCCTAAGCTTTTGGTTTTCATCATCACACTTTGTGTTTTATTGTGATTTATCTCTGTCTGAATGCAACTCATCCACCTAAAGTTAACATATGCAAATTAAAGAGATTTAATTGCTGAATTCAAAAATCACAATAGAACTTAAATGGAAACTTACTGATAATAGGTTAACATTTAAAAACTAGCTTCTATGTGTTAGGTCTATTTATACATTATATTTTAATCATCACAATTATATTAAGTATTTTATTATTTTCCAAAGGAAGAGATGGAGGCTCAGAAAAAAAAAAATTACCTAAGGTCACACAAACAGTAGGTAATAGAAAGAGTCAAATTCATGTCTATATGACCTCAAAATCTTTTCTTTGAACTAAACCATAATAGTAGCTAAAACATTATAGTAATATGATATTCCATCAATCAAACTTGTTGCAAAACTGTATTTGGTTAAAAGAGAAGTTGAATGGAAAAATTTCACACAAAATAGCCACTCTTAATGTTGGATCTAAATGATGAAACTCACTTTTGCTTTCTTATGTGTGAACTATTTAGAACCATTGCCTAAAAATAAATGTATCCTTAAAATGGAAACATAATTTTAAAAATATTCTTTAAAAACCTGCACGTAGGTAGTAATTACATATTATAAGTCCAAACTCCTGCTATTTTCTTGAAAATAAGAATTTTCTTAAATTTCTCCAGCCTTATGAACAAGTCTATTTTTTCAGTCATGGTCTGTGGAATTTAGTGTTATATATGCTATTATTTCAAATTTATCCTTAAATATTTTATTCACTGTGGTAAGGAAATAAATTTTACTGCATATGCAGTAGCTGATCACTAATGAAAATTAACATTTAAAAAATAATCTCGAATTCACCTCTGTTGTATAGCTGCTTTAGAATAATTTAACAAATTATTTTAGGAAAGGAATGTGAGTTTGCCTGTAACTAGATTTGACCTCTTTACCAAATTACAGAGTACTTTCAAATTTGTTGACTTCATGGGAGTCCACTTTATTATCACATTGGATGAACTATTATGAGATCTACTCCTGAGAACCACAGTAGACTACATTTGGATCTGTAAGTTGTACCAGGAACATCATGCTACTTATCCTAAAGTTATCTTAGATCAGGGAGAAGAAGTTGCAATGTGCACTGAGGGTTTGGTGAAGCTAATTTTTCCATCCTTTATTATTTTATTTCTGTAGGTAATTGTTTATGTTTTATTATAGAAGTCCTTGAAAACATGTTGTGCAAATTTAAGTTGGGTCATCTAAAAATTTATTAATGTTTGTTTTTTTAATTTTTTTATTTTTAATAAGGCAATCAGTCAGAGTATAGATAATCATGTATAAGAGCACACACTGAAGTGTTTTCATCAGTTCAGAAATTGGGATCCACCACGTTTAATTAAATAGACCTGGCAACTTAAATGGTCTCCTTATGCCTATATATGTGAATTTTGTTTTTAAATCTTGGAAGTCTGGAAGTTCCAGACATTAAAAAAATCTGCATATAGGTAATAATATAAATAATTACTACCTACATATAAGTAATATTTTTTAAAAAAATAGTATAATGATAGAACAGACTTCTAAGAACTGTTAAGACAACTAGCTTATATTCCATACGTAAATTATTTAATTCTATGACTTACCAAAAACTGGTATTTGTAGTAATGGGTGGTATAATTATTATGTAAATTATTTAACTTGAGAGATAGTTAATATTACTGTCAGATTCATTCGAAGTTTAAGAATTATTTGTGCATGCATTTTCTATGAGTCAGAAAATAGTGCTAAACCAATTGGATTAAAAGCAAATAAGATTCAATATCTAGCTTTTTAAAAATCAAATTTTCATAGTTAAAACAGAAAGTAACTGCAAAATTACAATAAAGTGTATATATATTTTGAAGGAAGTAAGTTTAAAGTTTACTATGTGGACACATAACAAGATAGCTACACTCCAACTTGTATGGACAGATTAAAGAAGTCTGTAACTCCCTGTAGAAGATAATCATTGAGTTGAATCCTGAAAAAAGTATAAGAGCTGGGCAAACAATTGATAAACAGCAAAAGCATGCTGAATATAATCAGGGGCCCTCTAAAACCTTAAGAAAGGGACAATGATGTGAGCATTAAGCAACATAAAGCAATTTCAATTCCTTTGTGTAATTTAGGAAGTGACAAGAAACTAGCCTGGATTGTAAAATTAAGCACTAAATTAAGGAATCTGGGGATATTTTATCTTTGGAGATTGAAATTTACACCAGTAACTTAAAGAATATTTAGATTTAAAAAAGACATAACCAGAACTATTTCATAGAAATATTTTTAACCTCACTTTAAATAATAGATTAAAATGAGAGAAAACAAGAGCAGGCAGCCATTAAGACATTGTAAGAAATATGGAAGAAAAAGATGGATGGGCTGAACCTGTAAAATGGTTGATGGATTGTTGGTAATATGAATAGTAATATTAGACTTAAAATGGACTTAAAAATGATATTAGTTCTAAATAGTAATAATATTCAGATACATAAACTGATGTCAAAGGCATTGAGGGATTTCACCAGTCACATATCTAATGTTTCTCCCAGGATCTCAGAAGGGGTAAAGACAGGAGTTTTCTTCCCTGTGATATTCAATGCCATCATTCAAGAAGACCAGTCAACTTGAATTCTAAAACTGAGACAGACTTTCTTGACTCTTTATTGGTGCTTGTCAGGGAGAATCACAAAGGAGTACTTTTAGAAGGGCTACCCTGCCTATTGGTGTGTAGACCTTAGAGAGCACCATAATTCTAATGAACCCTGAAGACTGAAGAGGAACTAAGCTTGTGTACCGAATTGCTGCTAGTTCATATATTTGAAACTAAACTGCTTCTCCTTGGCTTGTGTCCAAGGAAATAGAGGTGGCTAAGGTCAGAATTTGAAAAGCTATTTCATGCAGACACAGAAGAGTAAAAATAATGTATTATCTATCATTGTTTATTGACAACTGCCTCAAAAAGCCCAGCCTGATATGTTTAAATAATAGAAAATGGTATTTATTTTAATATTTGAAACTAACAATGAAAATTATACAATGACACCACAAAATTCAAAGCCAATACATTAATTCAGAAAAAAATATGGTTATATAACTGTAGAAGAAACGTAATGATCAGCTGAGTAAGGTGGTCTTAATTCATCAGTAATTATTATAAGAAAATCATTAAATAAAGAAGTTGCCATTATCTCTGGTAGGGAAACAATTAGACTGAGAGCACCCAAGCTCATCCCACTCATGAATCTACAGTACCATTCACATCCTCACTCTTTCCTGAGTCAATGGAACCTTGATAGAAGAGAACTATTTTTTGATACTGACTGAAATTTGAGTTGCTGCAGTTTCTTATTATAAGGGGGTAGAATTTATTTGTGTGTGTGTGTGTTGTGTGTGAAAAAATAGAGAATGGAAGTCTGTTTATAGGGCCTAAAATAAGCTGCTACATAGAAAGGTATGTGGGATTGAGAACTGAGTTTATGTGAAGAGAGGGTTTCTATATGAGATATTTTCCTTCAGAAAGTTCAAGTCCTCAATTCCTTTTAACCTGGAACAGAACTAAAACATGAGAAGGTTAAATATATATTCTCCAGGAAACATGATTCCTTTGTGGAGACAACTGTCTGACAATAGACTGTGGGGTGAATCCAACATGCCCTTGGATATGGATTAAGTAATGCACTTAGCAGCAGAGTCAACAAGAATAGAGGCACATGGTCTCCAGGTCTTTGTTATCTCCCCAAGTGGCATGGTAATGCATGGACAATATCTTGGACACACGATGGGGTTTCCATCTCTGTGGATGACACTTGTTTTTGTGTTACACTTGCTTCATATGGGACAGGTATAAAAACAATCCCTGTAGAAGAAAAAAAAAAATAGACTTCTTGGGTACCAGAAGTCTAAATACCAGGTATATGCAAAAGATTTCTGAAAAACAGGTGCCCATCATCTGGGAATATTAAGTCTATGGATAGTGATAATTTTTCTAGCCAGAGGTGTGAGTTCTTCAAACCTGTGAAAGATTAGGCTGTAGTCCCTTCCTAAGGAGAAGAAATAAACCTCTGATTGTGCAAGCAACCCAGAATAAGCATGTCCACTCTTTACTCTTGCCTCTATTACTTTCAGATCTACATATTTTTTACAATGGTACTTTTAAACATCTAGGTTTCTTAATATATCACAGATAATACATTAGATTTAATTTTTAAAATAGATGAACCTATACCTTAATATTTTCTATGTTCATGATGAACTCATTATATATACAATTCACATCATGCTCCAGTATTCTTTCTCATTTTTAATTTATGTTCATGGTTTTGGCATAATATCTGGATGGAAGAAAAAAGCCAAATATATATCTATAGCTACTTTAAAAAGACAAGATACAATTATTTAGTGATATAATTGTTTATGTCAGTAGAGAAATCCTCTATATTTTTTCATGTAGTATGAGAAATAATTTATTTATTACTGAAATGTATCATAAAAGTAGCAAAGTTTTGACTCTTACCTTTGAAAAGCTCCTCATTATATGGGGCAGAATGAAATATTCAAAGAATAGAAAGATAAGTCCAAAAATGGTCTGGAAATTATTAAAATTATTAATTGAAAGATTATCACTGTTTGAAAAGCTACCTTTTAAAAGAATGTTTGACTGAATTAACAATTTCCAAACTTGGTATTGTAAAGTTTCCAAAGACCAGAAACCGACTGATGACCTTCAATTGGTGATATAGTTTATTCTCAGTCACGTAAAACTTGAAACCCAATAACTTCTAATCTGAAAATGTAATAAGATATCCCTTTCAGTTAAATTAGAATAGAAGCAGCAGAGTGATTTTATTATAAGAAGACTTCATTCTTTCAAATATTTTATGTTTGATATAACATATGAAAATATTTTATGTTTGATATAACATATGAAAATATTTTATGTTTGATATAACAAGTATTTTATGTTTGCTATAACAGGCAGTATTCCATTTTAGCCATTTAGTCAAAAGTTTCCCAATTGAATAGCTTATATACTATGTGAAAACAAAATATATAAACAAATATTTTCCCCTTTTCTGTGGCAATGTCATAGGGAAAGGTACTCACGTGACATTGAACTACAAGCAATACATCTAAATATTACTCTTAAACCAACTTTGGTGAGATAAATTTGAATTCTGTTTATGATTAATAATAAATACCTAAGATAAGCTTGATATAATAGTCTTCAAATAATATAACTTGTTTGTTCTGCTAGGTGCAGTGTCTCATGCCTGTAATCCCAGCACTTTGGGAGGCCGAGGCTGGTGGATTGCTTGAGGTCAGGAGTTCAAGACCATCCTGGCCAACATGGTGAAACTCCGTCTCTATTAAAAATACAAAAATTAGCCTGGTATGGTGGCGGCCGCCTGTATTCCCAGCTATAAGGCACGACAATCGCTTGATCCTGGGACAGAGGTTGCAGTGAGCCAGGATCGCGGCACTGCACTTCAGCCTAGGCGACAGAGGTAGACTCTGTCTCAAAAACAAACAACAGCAACGAATAACATAACTTCTTTGTTCTGGTAATCATTTTTATCAAAAAAACATGTAAAAATTCAAGGATGACCAAGAGAATTTGACATTGATTTCTAGCTTACTTAAACTAAGAACACAAGACAGAATTCCTTGTTCATTGTACTACTTGAATACAGCCACTGTCATATTTTTGTAAGATGATAAACCTGATCTAACTGATCCTTCCCTTCCAAGTGTGTACTGAGGGAATAACCAAAAATAACCCAGAAAAATACTATAGTCCTTTGACATTGCTCAAGCAGTGCCCATTTCACTGCTCAGGTGTCCATCTCTTTGTGACACACGCACGGGCAGAGATATCAAATTCTAGTTGAACTTATACCACTTTATTGTTTTGCCTTAACTTCTTAGTTAGGGTTTTTCTCTTGTGAATGATACAGTTTATATGGTTTCTCTATCTTTCAGTGTTATTGTCTCCTTTACAGGAAATCTGGCTCTAGCCCCCAAGGGCTGAAATTGGAAGTTCTCTGCTAGGAGTCTGTCTGTGCCTCTTATTGTCCCTTATCAAATAGTCCATCTCAGTGCCTTCCTTTGCCCTCCTAATTATTGTCCATCTAGGTTATTCTGTGATGAGCTTCCTGTCCTAATTTAAGTATGAAAGACATATTTATCTAGGTACTGGATGCTACCAGTGACAGAATTCAACCATTATCCCCCTTAGGCTTTGCCTTGACTGGAGAGAAACATCTAGTCAAAGTTCATGGTCCCTTCTTGGGGCAGCCGAAATTCAGTAACTGATGGATTTCAAGGAATTAGAAAATGAGTGTGTTTATAAAGTCTACAACCACGTGCCCTACTTCTGGACAAACTTGAAAGGTTATTCCAGCTTCACTGCTCTATTTTAGATCAGTTGCAGCCTTCACTGACACAGCACTGAATAATTTATTTTTCTCACCAATCCAGTTTCCTTCTCTACCTATACACAGATATTGATTCAAAAAGCATTCTCTAATAAACAGTCTAAATCCTAAAGTCTTAGAATTTACTTCCCAGTGAACCCAACCTGAGACTCTCTAAGATCCAAAAGGCAGTGTATTTTTCCCCTCCGTTGTGTGGTGTAATGCTGGTATCTAGAGAACTGGTTACAAATATGTAGAGTCTTCTTCTGTCTGCACCAATGTAGTCTGGAGGCTCTTACATCAATCGAGTCACTAGGGTATGTGTAAAAACAAATCCCCTCAATAAATCTGGGATAAAATAATGTGGAACCGTATCTCTCAAAATACAATAAGGTCAGAGATTATACACAAATTTTAACTCTTTGCAATATTCTGCAATCAATTTTTCATTGAGTAGCATATTAAACACTTTTTTTCCCAATAGAATTCCCATATGCAAAAAAAATAGTGCAAAGAATTTTTCTTTCTTACATATCTTTAACTATAAATATTTTTGTTCTGATATGTTTATAATCCAATTAATGAGAAACTGAGACATTTGCTGGCTAACTTTGTAAAGGAGATGTAAAGCCCAGCTAAAAATAGAAGCTGGAGTTTATCTTGGAAAGTTTTAAGAGAAGGAGATGAAGGTGGGGAACAGTGGCTACTAGTGACAAGTTATTTGGGATGTTCTGTAAACCAACTATTTGTTTTTATATACTGCATTCCAACACAGTAACTGTAGGTGAGGGAAAGTTACTTCATCTCTCTGGGCTTTACTCTTCTTATTTGTAAATGAGTTATAATAGTATCTACCTCATATGGCTATTGTGAAAATTAAAGAAGAATATATATTCAGACTGGGTGCAGTGGTTCACGTCTGTAAGGTCGAGGCAGGAGGATCGCTTGAGGCCAGAAGTTCAAGACGAGCCTGGGCAACAAGGTGAGAGCCTGTCTCAACAAAAAATTTAAAAGAAACTACACAGGAGGTCGAGGAAGATTGCTTTAGCTGAGGAGGTTGAGGCTACAGTGAGCTATGATTATACCATTGCATTGCAGCCTGGGTGACAGAGCAAGACTCAGTCTGTCTCAAAAAAAAAAAACCAAAATGTACTTTCAAAAATTTTAGATGAATCCTAGACTAAGTTGACTGACTTGGTAGGTATTGCTATACTTTTTTAAGAAGCATTTTTATTCTTGTAGAAGATTATATAATCCTTTTACTGATTATTTTACCAAAAAAGTTGGTGAGGAATAACCAGTGAGACAGACGATTGCTCACCTAGGAAACATTTATGAATGCCACAGGAAACCCAGCATTTGTTCTGCCGCCTTTCTTACTTCTCGCAGAGTTCCCATTATGTGTGAAATTTATTTTAAATCAGTCAAGTCAAGATTGAATCTCTTTGAGAATGATAAGAGTGGTTCCTAAACCTGTATTTTAAATTCTTAATATATTTCCTTATTAGGCAATCCTCAAAAACATTCCTTTAGTAGAACTAGATTTCAAAAGACAATCCATAAATAGACTATAACATTCCCCACATCACAGCTTCTACATTGGGGGCTTTCAGACTTCAAATGAGATGTGCCTGGGTTCAGTGAATTAAGTGTTTTAAAACCGTCAGTAATTTTAAAACATTGTTACTATAAACCTAGGTGTTATTAATCAATAAATAAATGCAAGCTAGGTATTAGTTATTATAAGTATAAATGACTTTAAATTGTCTGTTTGTATTAGCAAGGTTTGCTGTTGTATGCTTTAGACACAAGTATTAAGTTACTTGTATGCTTCTTCCCATTGTGCATTAGTATCTTTAACCAAAAGAACTATCACTTCATCAGTCCTATTATCTGTTTCTTCTCCTGCATCCAGACTTATCATATAGCAGTTTTGGAACTATGAATTAGTATTTCTAAAACATTATTACCTGCTGCAGAAGCTTGTTTGATGCACTGTTGTTAAATCAATAACAAAGAATGATTTATATTATTTTCTTGGAAGCCAAAATTATTAAACTAGCTCAATGCAGTCATAAAGATAGCCACAAAGTTATCTTCCATCTTTCAGGGCTTTTTTTTTAATACAATATGACCTTTCTCCTCCTACTTCAAAAGCTGAAATCTAATTCCCTTCCCTTGGCAGGCCTTGTGATTTCTTTGACCAACAGAGTGGAGCAGAAGTAATAGTATGATTTTGCCAGAGCTAAGTCAGAGAGAAGGCCACTGCTTCTTCTCTCTGGTTCTCTAAGGATGTTTGCTTTGGGGAAAGCTGGCTGCCATGTGGGAAGTCTGACCCCATGGAGAACAGCATGCTGGATATGCCACATAGAGCAGTCATTAGCCATGATCAACTGCCAGCCATGAGAGTAAACTGTATCAGATATGGAGTTTCTGTTGGACCTTCTGATGACCGGAGCCCTTGCTGAGCCCATCCTGAATTCCTGACACACAAAATCATGAGCAATATAAAATGATTTTTTTAAACATAAAGTTTTTGAGGTTTTTTGTTACACGTAAATAATAACCAGATCAGCCTTACTGTCAGACAGACTTCTAGTAGATTTTTCTTTGAAATTTCTTAAACATAATGTAATCTACTATAGTATTACTACCACCACACTAAGTTTGCTCTATTTTGGCAAATACTGTTAATTCAGGGGCAAATTTCAAAAATTAACTTTGAGTTGTCAGATCACCAATGTATTTAAAGTTAACATACAGGTTTGACACCACTGTTCCTGAGTAAATGAATAAGCCATGGTCCCTGAGCCACTATTGGCACTATAGGCTGTGACAAAAGCTTACTGGTTAAAAGATTTAGAACTAGCCATGATTAACATTGCAGAAAGGCTTGACAATACTACCTACAATATGCTGCAAGACCCCAGATATATTTAGTTTCCTAAACTTTATAGGTTATGCAAGTGATGGAAGGCAGGAATCCAAATTGAGCTCAACCTCTGCTATGAAATAATTGTTTCATGTAACTTACTGAGGTGCTGTACAATTGACACCTGTCAAGTAACAATTTTTACATTGGTTCCTTAGGGCACTCCAGCAACCTAAGGAATCACCTGTCATATTTTTCAGTACCTCCCCACGACAGAGTTTGACTGCCTACATAGACTAGAATTTCCAAATAGCTCATAAACCCAGTCCCTATTTTCTTTAGCTGAGAAAGATGCTTTATAATCTACACGTATATTACTTTTGCAATTTACCTTTTGTACTATCATAATCACGAAGTTACAGCAATTTTGGGTCCTATCTTAGTGTCATTAATTAATAGTACGTTAATAAATTTTGTTTAATAATTCATTTTAAACAAGACAATTTTTCAAACATTTTCATTTAAATATGAGATTTAGTAACTCTTCTCAGTGAACCCTTCTCTTAAACAACCCAACCATGGAACAATAACTGCTTACTATTACTAGGGAGGGTTGTCAAGGACTCAGAAGAAACTACAGATCTTCTGAGGAGTCCATAAGACCTCTGCAGAGGCCAGTAAATTAGGATAAAGGAAAGGAGATGCCAGTTGCACAAAGAAGACTTAACAAAGACATCTTTCAAAGCAGAAACTATTTATTTAAGCAATTTATGTGCTGAAGGTCAGTACTGCCTTTTGATAGGCAAGGCACTGAAGACAGCCCATAGCTCAGTGGAACCAAGTGACTACTTGGGCTTTTCTCCAGGTCAGTTCCAATGGTGAGGGGACACCAAGCCACAGGCAAATCCCCACAAAGGCCCGCAGGTTATGCTCTCCAGAGTTTGTTACGGGACGAACAGGTTTGTATGACCACTGCATACTAACATACCAATTAAACTGAGACAGCAGGGTTTGTAGCAGAGAAAGATAAATTGTACTTACCACTGAAACACATGTGCACTATTGTTGTGCACTTATAATGATCTGTGTTTAATCTAGATACAGATGTCTGGAAAAGCTATGGCCATGGGAACTTTGACTCAAACTAGAAGCCGATACTCTCAGGGAAGTCCAGTGTTGGCTGGACTTTTCTAATCTGAACTAGAATTGTGGAAGTCAGAAGTAGTAAATTTATTCTCTCATAACAAACAATGCCAAATATTGGCGATTTTTTTTTAAATGATTTTGTCTTTATCACCCAAAGTACACTGTGGATTCAAGGTCCTCCATGTGATGACTCAGCACTGATCCTCCATATTAAAATGTTTCTTCAGCACTGTTGACATAAAGGAAGAAAGTCAGTGAAGAGATGGGAACTGATGCTTACACTAGGAAGAGACACATGTCACTCCAGCACATATTTTGTTGTCCAGGGCAAGTTATATTGTCATATTTAACCAAGTGTCTGTGGTTGGGGGGGTAGTTTAATCTTCTCATGTTCTTGGAAATAGAATGGAACTGGATGTTAATGAATGTGAATACTGGTTCTTACTCTGTGGTTTTTGCTAACGAGTAAGCAAAACAAAAGGAAGTGTCCTAGATTTTACATAGTTTTTCCTAGTTTCCACAATAAATAAATAATAATAAAAGAGAGTATTATATATATATATACACACACACACTGTATATATATATAATAGATATATAGTATATATATATATATATATATAGTAGATATATAGTAGAGGTTCTATATACTATGTATATATATATGGTAGATACATATATAGTAGACTCAGTATTCACTTATTACCAGTATTGTGTAATGGTTAAATGCAGGGCTCAGGACTCAAACTACATGGTTTGGAATACTGGATCTGAAACTTCTATATGACAAAGGCAAACTTTTTCATCAGTAAAATACAGTGTTCTTGTGAAAATTAAATGAGTCAATACATGTAAGTTCCTCAAGAATATTAAATATTAAATAAATATTGGCTATTACTATGATTATCTTGTTTCCTTTTAGAATAAAGATAAGGATTTCCATCCTTATATCAGTACTACAGAGTAGAAGTATTAACACATAAAATAATTTTAATAAATTTGTAATAAATAAATACATAAAATAATAGATATACAATGTCTTTAATAAACAGCCTGTATTTAGCCCACTTTCTGATGCTAGGCAGCAGTGTAAGTTGAGGAAAACTGAGTTTCTGTTCCATTGTTCCTCTGTTTTATGAATCAAGTAACTTCTTGAAAATGTAAATCACTCTGATATACAAATGGAAGAAGGTACTTGACTGTTTTTTTTCTTTAACAAGATGCAGAGTTGACTGAAAATTTTTATTTTATTTTAAAAACCACATTATATTTTGATAGATATAAAGTTATCTGGGTCTTCTCAAAAGGAGAGAAATAAAATGTAAAGCATTAAAAGTTGCTTCAGTTTGGAAGGGAGTTGCGATGGTCATTGTGATGCATTAGGAGTAGACAATATGTGAGAAAGGATGATGTGTTTTAGTATTAACAAAAAATGTTATAATTACCTTTGGATGTGTATAAGAGATGCTGCTAAGCTTAGAAAAAAATTAGAGAAGGAAAGAGAACATGGCTGAGGCTGCATGTTATGAACTCAAAAAGATCCAGTCTTCTTAGCTGCTTATGACCAGGGATATGGCTCTCCACAGAGACGGGGGAAAGAGATGGCTGAAGCAAGCACAACGGCATTGCCGTGGCAAGGGATTACATAAGCCATTAGGACACCAGAGTTTGCAGTTGACCAAAACCAGCTATCAGTCAGTGATGAATGTTTTGCTGCTCCACTACTGCAGAGGACACTACAAACCAGTTCCCATGGTATCTATTTGAGTCTAGAACTGAAGACCTCAAGCAATTGTAATCAGAGAATAACTGAGATCAATAGTGTACCTAGAGGTGAGGAAGAGGACAGTGGACACAATATCTACAACTCAACATTTCCAGCTTAAACCAAAGTAATGAATTAGAGAAAGATAGGAAAGGAAACTAATTGAAAGGGAATAGGCTTTTGCAGGGCCAGAAAATATTTTCTCCAGAACTAAAATTATACCATGTATTACTACATACACACAAGGCTGATCCTATTGAAAAACACAGTAAGACAATGATAAAATTAACATTGTTCAGCTTCTTTAATTTTCACTTTTCTTCTCAAGAAATATTGTACATTACTGGCATGGTGGCTCAGGCCTGTAATTCCAACACTTTGGGAGGCCAAGGCAGGAGGATCACATGAGTCCAAGAGTTCAATACCAGCCTGGGTATTGAACTTAAGAATATAAATAAATTTATTTAAATAAAATAAATACAGTATAATAAACTCCACTTTGACAGAATATAATTTTTTTGCTTTTAAATTTATATTCTTATGTGATATGTAATGATTATAAAGAAGGTGTTGCAATATTTTTCACATATTCAAAATCTTGACATTATTTTAGGCTATTGTGCCTACGTTACGTTAATATGCTATTACGTAATTAGTCATTATGAATATTAAACATGATATACATATTGACACTGTTCTATGTAAATTATTTTTGACTTCCTTTATATGATATCACTAAAAGAACTGCTATATCATCTAATATTTCTTAAATTTGTTTTAGTTTAAATATAAATGTGTTTCAATTATAAGCTAAGAATATACTTTCTACTAATAAAAAACAAATGATGTACGTCACCATTTTTTATCTCTAGTAAAACAAAACAAAACAAAATCCCACTACACTATATTAGTTCATTCATTACAACTATAGAGTTTATATTTTTCCTTAATCATAATATAGGAAATAATCATTTTGCTACCTTCTAATACTACATTTGTTTGAAAAAGATTGTGCTATAATTTAGTCTACTATTTTCCCTGGACGAATTCCAATTCAAGTAAATTTCCAACTGCTAGCATAATGATTTTCTGACAACTTGCTCAATAGGAGTGCAGCTCCTACTAATAAACAAATATCACCTACATATAAGAAAAACATTCTGTTAAATGGAAAATACAGTAAGCTTGGATTATCATTGTTTCCACATACTTGCTTTATGCTTAAAAATGTATATTACCTGATTATTCCTAATTAAAAACTTTTAGTTTAAGTTGAAGAGTGCATGTAATAGCTTTTTGTTGCTAAATCATCATTTGTGCTGTAATATATAGATGGTAAACTGAGTGTAGGGGCTTGTTGTCTCGTTTTGGCCCCACAACAAACTGTCTATGTAACCTGTGACAAGATTCTTAACTTTGTGCCTTAATTTCCTTATTCGCTTCTGTAAAAATCTCATAAATAGTATATAAAAATAGAAATTGGAAAGGGCCTTGGAAAATGAGAATGCAATGTATTATGACTTCTATTGATTTAGATATGGCATTGGGTAAAATTTATCACCTCTTCAATGAAGCATTTTCTGACTTGTTAAGAAGGAGCTAATTACTCTCTCTGTGCTTTATAAAAACATTTATCCTGTCATATAATTAAGCTACCTCTCCCCCCCACCACCATACACACACTTCACTGGACTGTCCTCAAGAGTTGTGGCTGTATGCCCAGCATCCTCTCTAGAAAAGAATATGAAGAGGGGAGGGAAAGGGAGGAAAAATGAAGGTGTCCTTTCTCAAGAACTTGGAAATCCTTTTTTTTTTTTCTATTAATAGCTTTCAAAATAATTTGAAAAAATAAACAAATACGTATGACAAAACACATTAAAACAACTGAGTAATGGGTTCAGTATTCACACAAATTAGCACTGACTTTGTCAATGATTTTAGCCGTCAATTAATTGTAGATTAGCTGGTGTTCCTTTTTCCAGAGACACATACATATCTTTCTCCTGCTTACATGATTGATCTTATTTTATTTTTAAGCTTTATGCCATTGTTGCAGTATTTTTCTGTGTTTAATACCTTTCATAAAATAGTCTCTTTAATAAATACCACTTTCGTTAAGAATATGCAGGTAACACACCATCAAATATTATGGAAATATTAACTCTCAAAGCAAGAAAAAAAATGTTCCCTTCTTTCCATATGTAGAACTTTAAATAGTTTTTATTTATATTTAGCCAATATTTATATTGCTACCATCCTGAAATAGACCACTTCAGCATCAACATTTATTGGCGAAATAATTATAAAGATATTTTCTTTTTTTTTTTTTTTTTTTTGAGACTGGGTCTCGCTCTGTCGCCCAAGCTGGAGTGCAGTGGCGCGATCTCGGCTCACTGCAAGCTCCGCCTCCCGGGTTCATGCCATTCTCCTGCCTCAGCCTCCAGAGTAGCTGGGACTGCAGGCGCCTGCTACCATGCCCGGCTAATTTTTTGTATTTTTTAGTAGAGGCAGGGTTTCACCGTGTTATCCAGGATGGTCTCAATCTCTTGACCTCATGATCCGCCCACTTCAGCCTCGCAAAGTGCTGGGATTACAGGCATGAGCCACCATGCCCGGGTAATTTTGTTCTTGTATTTTTAGTAGAGACGGATTTTCACCGTGTTAGCCAGGATGGTCTCAATCTCCTGACCTTGTAATCCGCCCGCTTCGAGGTCTGGGATTACAGGCCTGAGCCACCGTGCCAGCCCCTAAAAAGGTATTTTCTAATGTATGAATTTTAAAACTATTGTGGGGTAAATATCGTGGATGAGTTTGTTGGTATCCCACATAAATTCTTGCAGATTTTTTTCTCAGAGCACACACAGAAAATACTCATTTTTTTTCCATACTTGAAAATCATAAAATACATTTAGTATTCAATCAACCCTTTTGTGTGCGTTGATGCTGAGAATGGGGTTAACATACAACTTTTAGTATAGACCTATAAGTTAAGATCAATTTTAGTTCTTTTCTCTATATTCCATTGGCTGTCAAAGGGTATTCTGTGAATGGGGGTGGGATGAAGTGGAAAGAGCATTCATTTTAATAGATTTGTTCCAAATGTTCTCTTTCTCAAGGTAATAAACTTCATTTTTCATATGTATACGTGAGTGTTCCAGAATTGCAAAGGGGAGTAAGTCAGGTAGCTCCTGAGACTGTTTTGATATATCCACTTCTTCTTAATGCCCCTTGCCCACCGTATATCAGTGCACTGTTATTCATTTTGTAGATAAATTTTATCTCACAAGGAGCTTCATTTAAATTGCAAATGAATGGGGATGTATAAGTGCAGAGGCTTGAGTTGTTTTCAAAATCAAGCAAAAATTTGTAGTCTGAACCTTTTTAGATGCAGAATAGTTACAAAAGTATTGGCTTTGATATCTAAAGGGATAAAGACATTATTTGCATATTTTCATTCCTCAAATATTTATGAATTCTTCAACATGGAGCAGCACAGAGTTTGGCATTTCAGCTGATCTTAGAACATTAGACCTAGTAGAGATTTAGAGGTCATTTTTTCAATAGCTTAATGTGTTTGCACAACGTGATATTTTCTGCTATTCACAAGCAGAGATTTTATCTTTTAAAACTCTACATAAAATTGATATTGTTATTAATTCTTGCAAATGGCTAAACCCTTTAACAGTTGTTTAAAAGTAACACATTTTACCTAAAAGAATAAAGAATTCAAAAATAAATAGCTTGGGTTTAAATTTTTCACCCTGTCCCTCCCTAATTATGAGAAATAACAAAAACAATTCAAACCTCTCAGTCTCAGTCTTCTCAATTGCATAATGACAATAATGGATCCTTATATAATTCAAAAAGACAGATAAAAAATGTTAGCAGTAGCTCACTGGTTTCTCTATAGACCAGGTCCACGGAGCTCTTCACTGTGTCATACCAGAAGTTTTAGTAATTCATTATTAAAATTAGAAACCTCTAAAGTAAAAGTTGTTTACAAAGGTAAAGATATTTGGTTGCAGAACCATATTTTATTATCTATCTTCCGTGTCTGCCTTCTACATGATACAAGGCATGTATTGTGTAAACAATCATTGTCCAAATATGACATATGGTAATTTATAAGGATGTCATTATTTTATTTTGTCCAAATAGGTTAGAAGTACAAAGAAAGTTATATATCTTAATCTGTATAATATGAATGGTATTATATCAATAATAAATTCCTTCGGTTAGAAAACAAAAATTGGAAAATTAACATTGAAGACATTGTTGATATCAAGCAACACAGAAACTGGCCTGGATGTGTGAAACTCAAAGATAATTAACATCAGTGAGAATATATTCTTCAACTGCACTCAGTTTTACAGCATGCCAAGTGATAAGCACTAAAATATGTAAAGGACTATTTTCCTGAAATGGGCAGATGAGCATTTTTCACACTGTCTTCAGCTACCTGTTGCTGAGGCAAAGTTGTGAACAATGAACAGTATTTGGGATCTCTTTTCATCCACCAATACCCACTGGAGGAAAGGAAGGTCTATATTGAAACATTGACCTCAGGAACTATTTCTTGAAAGCAGCCAGAATTTGATTGGATTTGTTTGCAGAGCAATTTGTGTCCCACAGCTTTCAACAATCAGCAAGCAATTTCTGAAGATTATCAACTAGTTATGATCAGGTTTAAAAAAAAATCAAAGTAAGCATCCCAGGGTGACTGGGAATGTTCATACGTGCACTTGTTGAGGAGCAATTCTGGAGGCTTAACCTACAGGAGCTAGGGGCTAAAAATAGGCCTCACTAAAATAATTCAGCCAGTCACTAGAAAATAAACAAGCAACTAATAGATGGTACCTTAGAGGAATAGTGTTAAGAATTTCAACAATATGTTCTCTAAAATGTCCAAAAAAACAAAAGAAACCCCACATAAATAAAGCAAGAAACTGTGACCTGTACACCAAGAATAAAGCAGAGCAGTTTCTCCTTATCTTCGGGTGATATGCTCCGGGACTCCCAGTGGATTCCTGAAACTATGGACAGTACAAGCCAAATTGCTATCAGTCAAAACACGTTTCTATTCATGCCCTCCACCTACAAATGCAATGCTTTTTTCATCTTAACTAAGCACTAATTATGCCTTGTTACTGTAACTTTTGCAGTTTAACATGGGACAGCAAAATTAGAATGAATTTATTTTTCCTTCTTCACTTTAATGGGTAGAAAATTTGTTCTTACTGTAGATCTTAGCAACCTCAGCATATATTTTTTCTTTCCTTAAATATGGAACTTCCACCTTTTCCCTAAGGGAAACACTACACAGATTCTTTTTTGGCATATCCAAATTGCGGACATCACTACTTTTGCCCTCTGTGACCATTATTAAGTAAAATAAGGGAAATTTGTACACGAACATTGTGATACTACACTCCATCTGATAACCAAGATGCCTTCTGAGTGGACCAATGAGTGGGGAGTATATAACCATAAATAAATGGAACAAAGGAATAATTAGTGTTCTCATGTTCTGGGATGAATGACATGGGTTGCTGTGGGATAGTGTAAGATTGTATCATGTTACTTAGACCAAAACTCAATTGAACGATTATGAGTTGTTTATTTCATAAATAAACAGTAAAATTTTCTATTTGATATTTTTGGACTACAGTTTACTATGGGTAAGTGAAACCATGGAAAGCAAAACCACAGATCAGGGGTAATTAGCACAGGCAACAGAAATAGCCTACCACAGTGACCATGTATCAGAATTAACACACAAAGACTTTAAAATAGCCACTGTTCAAATAGTTTTAAAAAATCATGAATAAAGAAATAAAGGTCAGGCGGGGTGGCTCACACCTGTAATCCCAGCACTTTGGGAGGCCGAGGTGGGTGGATCACCTGAGGTCAGGAGTTCCAGATCAGCCTGTCCACCATGGCGAAACCCTGTCTCTACTAAAAATGCAAAAATTAGCAGGGTATGGTGGCACGTGCCTGTAATCCCAGCTTCTAGGGGGGCTGAGGCAGGAGGATTGCTTGAACCTGGGAGGCGGAGGTTGCAGTGAGCAGAGATCGTACCACTGCACTCCAGCCTGGGTGACAGAGCTCTGTCTCAAAAAAAAAAAAAAAAAAAAAAAAAAAGAAGAAGAAATAAAACAGTGTATGAGGGGAATGCCATGTAAAATCTGAAATAACAGTAAAGAGATAAAACTTACAAAAAAGAAATGGAAATTCTGAAGTTAAAAATGAAAACTGAAATGAAAAATTCACTGGAGGTGTTCAACAGTAGATTTGAACTGGCTGAAGAAAGAAGTAGCAAATTTAAAGATAGATTGATAGAGTTATGCAATCTAAGGAAGAAGGAGACAAAAGAATATTTTTTTAAATAAACACAGAGTCAGAGAAATATAAGACAGCAGTGAATACACCAACATATGCATAAGGGGGTACTAGAAGAAGAGGAGAAAAAAGAGAAAATCGAAGACATAATGTCAATTTTTTGAATTTATAGAAAAACATTAATTTATATATGCAGGAAACTGAATAAATTCCAAGTAGGATTGAACACAGAGATACACAAAGAGACACATCATTACTAAAAATGCTGAAAGCCAAGGACAAGGAGAAATATTGCCAGCAACAAAAGAGAAACTATTCCTCATTACAAAGATTTTCAATTCTGTCAACAGCTGATTTATCAGCAGAAAGATGGAAGCCAGAGGACAGTAGGAAAATACATTTGAAATAATAAAAAAAAAAAACGCCAGGAATACAAATCCAGCATAGATAGCTTTCAAAAATGAAGTTAAAATGAAGATTATCTCAGATAAACAAAAAATGAGATTATTGTTAACAGACTTAACTACAAGAAATATTAAAAGACAATTCTTCAGACTGCTAGAAATTGACTCCAAACAGTAATTTGAATGTATATGCAAAAACAAACTTTGCTGGTTAAAGTAATTATATAGTTATACATATTTCTTCTCCTTTATTATCTCAGCCAATTTAAAAAGCAATCATATAAAACAGTACATAAATAATGTATTGTTGAACCTGCAAAATGTATTTGTCAATAACAGCGCAAAAGAGGTGGGGTGGAGCAAAGCTATATTCACCTAAGAAAATAACTTGAGATGGTTACCCAAAGCTACAAAACAAGTAGAGCTAACCAGAAATGATAAAATGGAAAGTTAATATAGCAATAGCTATAAAAGTATACTTGCTTTCCTTTGTTTTCCCATTTCTTTAAATGTCATAAACTCATATAAAATAGTAATTATAACAGCGTATTGTTGAGTTTGTAACATTTAGATATGTATAGCAATAATAACACAAAAAAGAGAGACATGGAATAAAGGTATATAGGTGTACCATGTCTATATCTCATTGGAATAAAATTTCAATAAACCTGAAGCTGATTCTGATAAATTTAGATGCATGTGTTTAGCCCTACAACAACCACAGAATAAATAACTAAAGAAAAAAATGACTAAATCAAAATGATATCTTGGAAAATATTCACTTAGTGCAAAAGATAGTAATTGAGAATAAATAGAAGAAAAAAATGAAATGATACATATGGGAAACAAAAGTAAAATGACAGACATTTTAGCTTCAACTATATAGATAATAATGCATGCTATTAACATGTACACAATCAAAAGGCAGAAACTATCAGGTGTATAAAATATATGATTAAACTATATGCTTTCTACAAGAGACACACCTTAAATTCACATAGAATTACATGAAAGTATGAGGATCAAAGAAGATGTATTATGCAATCAGCAACCATAAGAAAACTGGAGTGGCTATACTAGTATCAGACAAAATACTTATCTAAAAAGTTACTAGAGATAGAGTTACATTTTATAATATTAAATTGTCATTCCATCAGAAAAATATAACAATTATAAATACATATGCACCTAACAACAGACCACCAAAATACAGTGAGCAAAACTGACAAAAATGAAGAGAGAAATATACAACTCAACAGCACTAGTTGAAGATTCAATACCCCCACTTTTGGTAATAGATAAAACTAATAGGCAGAGGATCAACAAGAGAACAGAAGACTTGAAAAGCAAACTGAACCTAACAGTCATCTACAAAACATTCCACCCAACAATAGAAAAATATACATTCTTCTCAAATCCACATGGAGCATTCTCCACAATAGGCCATATATTGTGACATAAAATGAACCTTAATAAATTTAAAAGAATAAAAAATAATGCAAAGTTTGTTCTCTTATTACAATGTAATGAAATTATAAATCTATAACAAAAGAAATATGAGAAACTAAAAAATATGTGAAAATTAAACAACACATTCTTAAATAATGAATAAGCTGAAGAAAAATGAAAAGAGAAATTAGAAAATACTAGTAGATTAATAAAAATTATGATAATATAGTAAAATTTAAAAAGCAGAAAAATCCATGATTAAAACAAAATTTATACTTGTAAATGCCTATTTTTAAAAAGACATATCCCAAATTAATAATTTAACTTTCCACCTGAAGATAATGGATAAAGAAAAGCAAGCTAATCATGAAGCAAACAAAAGGAAGTATTAAATTTCATGTGAAAACATGAAATAGAGAATAGAATAGAGTAAAAATAGGAAAAAATCAATAAAATTAAAGGCATTCTTTAAAAAGATCAACAATTATCAATTTTTTCTCTATTAACTAATTTAAAAAGATAAGAATCAAATTACTAGTGAAATGGGAAAATTTCCCTGATCTCCCTCGCAGGGCATGCGATGGAGGTGTGGCTCACTTCTTTGATGCCCCACAGCTCAAACCTCTAGGGGGAGCATGCAGATGGGCAAGTTGTGGGTCTCTGACCCCACGGCAGAATCTAGAGGTGAATGTTTACAGCTGAAGCTTTAGTGGGTGTGTGTTACAGTAGCCTCTTTCCATTTAGCTATCTGTAGGCGGCTTGTGTTAAGTCAGCTCAGTTAGACCCCCTGCCTTACCCCAAGGACAGAGGGCTTTCTGTATCCCAGGGTTTCTTGCCTTGGTGTACCAGAATAATTGAATCACACGTGGGCTTGGAGAATGAGTGCAAGGTTTTATTAAATGGAAGTAGCTCTCAACAGACGGGGGAACCAGAAGTGAGACAGTGAGAAGTTGGCTTTCCACTGGAGTCAGGCCTCTCAGCCTGGGATCCCCCTCCAACTGCCCCAGACATACTCCACTTTGTTCCTTCAGTGGATGGCCTTACAGCTTGCTGGCATCTGTCGGTGTGCTCTTACAACATCTTGCCACTTGTGTCTTCTTCCACTGATGTGTTCCTCTGGATGTCCAGCTGCTTGTGTCTCTACCCACTACGGTCTTGGGGTTTTCATAAGCATAGGATAGGGCAGTGGTGGGCCAGGGTGATCTTGGAGAATGCAACGTTTAAGCATGAAAACAGAAATGCCTGTCCTCACCTAGGTCCGTGGTCACAGGCCCTAGAGTGGAGCCCTTGCCAGTGACTTGCCCTTCTCTACCCAGCACTTCCCTGCCCCCCTTCCATATCACTAGTATCAAAAATGAAAGAGGGTACATTACTGTTGCTGTTTCAAAAACAAAATGGATTATAAAAGAATACTATGAAAAATAGAATGCCAACAAGCTAGATAACATAGACACAATGGAAAAATTTTTAGAAAAGAAAAAATTGAAACTGATTTAAGAAGAATTACATTATTTGAATAGACAAGTAAAAAGACTAAATTGGTAATTTAAAAACTATTCACAAAGAGAAGACCAAACCAAGATGGCTTAACTTCTAAATTCTAACAAACATTTAAATAATTAATAATAATCATTTGTAAACTCTTCCAGAAATAAAAGAGAAGAAAGATTCCTCAACTCTTTCTATGAGGCTAATATTATTTTGAAACAAAAAATACAGTATAACAAAAGATAACTTCAAAACAACTATCTCTTATGAATACGGGCACAAAAGTCCTCAAGAAAATGCTAGCAAATAGAATCCATCAATATATTAAAATAATTATACACCATAATCATTTGGGATTTATCCAACAGATGCAAAGTTACCGCAATATCTGAAAATTAGTTAATTAAATATACTCTATCCACAGATAGAAAATCAATCAGATGATAATTTCAACAGATGCAGGAAAAGTATTTGACAAAATCCAATATCTTTGCATGGTGAAAGCATTTAACAAACTGGATATAGACGGAAACTTTCTCAATCTTATAAAGAACATTTACTTACTACAGCTAAGTTATACTTAATGGTGAAAAACTAGTTGCTTTTCTCCATCAGAAGTAAAATTAAGGTATCCACAGTTGCCACTCTTATTCAACAAACTGTTGGAGATTCTAGAGAGGGGAATTAGAAAAGAAATATAAGTAAAAGCTTCTAAATTGTAAAGGAAGAAGTAAGCTATCTATATTCACAGATGACAATAGTTTGAATATAGAAAATTCTATGGGATCCAGTAAACATTTTTAGAAGTAATAAACAAGCTCAGCAAGTTTGCAAGATGCAAGATCAATATGCAAAAATCAATATTATTTCTACACACTAGCAATGAACAATCTGAATATGAAATTAAGAATGCAATTTTGTATATAATAGCATCAAAAATAAAATATGTATAAATAAATTTAACAAAAAAGTGCAAAACTTGTAACCTTAACCCTTAAAACTTTGTTAAATAACTTAAAGATCTAAATAAATGGAAAAACAATCCATATTCATGGACTGATTATTAGAATGACAATATTATACAAATTGATGTATATTAATGCAAATTCTATCAGAATCCTAGCTGAATTCTTTGCAGAAATTTACAAATTCATTCTCAAATTCATATGGAAATGTAAGGGACCCAAAATACCCATAAATAAAATCTTAAAAATGAACAAAGTTAAATCACTCACACATATCTATGTCAAAATTTCCTAGACAATAACAGTAATCCAGGCAGTTTGTACTGACATAAGAATGAACATAAAGAACAATAGAATAGAACTGAAAGTCCAGAAACAAACTAATGTGTCTATAGTCAATTGATTTTCAATAATAGTATTGAGACCATTCATGCGGAAAAATAAATTTTTCAACAAATGGGTGTAAGACACCCAGGTGACCACATGACAAAAAATGAGTTTGCACCCTTACCTCACACCATATTAAAACAAATAAACAAACAAAATAGATAATGGATAAAGATGTACATGTCAGAGCAAGCTAGAAAGTTTTTAGAATGATTATATGAATAATCTTTTGACCTGAAATTTAGCAATTGATTGTTAAATATCACCAAAAATCTACAAATAACCAAAGGAAAAAAAAATCAATGGGACTACATCAAAATTAGAAACTTTTGTGCTTCATAAGATATCTCAAAACTAAGATGGGGCAGGGGGTGGAGTAAGATGGCAGAATAGCAATTTTCTTCCCAGCAGGAACACCAAAATGAACAACTCTTCATGCAAAAAAAATTACCATCATAACAACAAAAAATCAGGTGAGTGATCACACTACCTGCTTTTACCATCACATTAAGGAAACAAACACTGACGAGGTTAGAAAACACAGTCTTGATTTGCCGACATCACCCAATTCCCATCCCCCAGCAGCAGACTTGTGGCATGGAGAAAGAATCTCTGTACTTGGGGAAGGGAGAGTGTAATAATTGCAGGACTTCACATTGGAACTCAGTGCTGCCTAACACCACAGAAAGAAACACAGGGTAGAACTTAGCTGGTTCCCACACAGGGAACATTTAGATCAGTCCTAGCCGGAGGTAAATTGTCTATTCCAGCAGTCAGAACCTGAGTTCTGTTAAGCCTACCACCATGGCTAAAGTATTCTTGGGTCCTAAATAAAGTGGAAAGGTATTCTAGGCCACAAGGACAAGTCCTGTTACTGTGCTGGGCTCGAAACCAGTGGTTTGGGGTGCACCCAACAAAATGAGACATCAGTAAGGGCAGCAAAGTGCTTGTATTACCCTTCCCCCAACCACAGGCAACACAGCTTATAGCCCTTGAAGAAACTCCTTTCCTCTGCTTGAAGAGAGGAGAGAGGAAAGTAAATAAGACTTTTTCTTGCAACTTCAATGCCAGCTCAGCCACAGAATAGGGTACCAGAGAGAGTCCTGAAGCCTCCATTCCAGGCCCTAGTTCACAATAACATTTTTAGACACACCCTGAGTGAGAAGGGATAAAACTGCCTGGAAGGGAAAAACTCAGTCCTGGTAGACTTTACCACCTGCTGATTAAAGACCCCATGAGCCCCAAATGATCAGCTATGGAAGCCAGACAGTTGTTGCTGAGGATCTTGGGTGAGACTCAGAGCCATGCTGGCTCCAGGTGTAAACCAGCACATTCCCAGTTGTGGTGGTTATGGGGAGAGACCCATTTCTGCTTGAATAAAGGAGAGGGAAGAGTAAGGAGAATTTAATATTTCAGTTTGGGTACCAGCTTAGCCATAGTGGGGTAGAGGACCAAGCAAGAACCTGGGGTCCCTGATTCTAGGCCTTGGCTTTTGGAAGGCATTTATGGACTTTCCCTGGGCTAGAAGGAACTCCACTGCCCTCACGGGAGAGAAGCAGGGCTGGCAGCATTCACTGAAAGCTAAGTGAGGAGCCTTTTGGCCTTGAGTGGACATTGGCAGTAGCCAGACAGTATTCATCACAGGCCTGGGGCAGTGACAGCCATGGGGAGAAACTCCTTTGCTTGAGGAAAGGGGAATAAAGAGTGGGAAGGACTTTGCCTTGTGGTCTGGGTGCCAGCTCAGCTCCAGTAAACTAGAGCACTTGGTAGATTGCTAAGGTTCAAAACCCCAGGCCCTGGCTTTCAGATGGCATCCCTAGGCCCAAAGGGATCCAGGGACAACACATCACCCTGAAGGGAAAGACAAGCCTAGCTTGATTTGGCATCTGCTGATTGTCTAGCCCTTGTGCCTTGAATGAACATATGCAGTAACCAGGCAGTGGTTACTGCAAGCTTTGGGTGAGACCCATTGCTGTGCTCTCCTTGAGTCTGAACCAGCACTGTTCCAATGATAGTGGCCACAGGGGTTTGTGTGTCACCTCTCCCCTAGCTCCAGCCAGCTCAGAAGACAGATCCTTTGTTTGGGGGGAAAGTGAGGGAAGATAACAAGGGTCTCTGCCTGATAATTCAGGGAATTCTTCTGGATCTTACCCAAGACCACTAAATCAGTATCTCTATGAGTCCGCAAAAGCCATAGGAATACTGGGTTTGGAGTCGCTCTTAAAGCAGATATTGCTACAGTGACCAAAATCTTAGATCACAGCACCCAAGTTCCTTTAAATACCTGGAAAGTCATCCAAAGAAGAACAGGTACAAACAAGCCCAGACTGCAAAGACTACAATAAATGCCTAACTCTTCAATGCTTAGACACAGATGAACATCCATAAACATCAAGATCATCTAAGAAAACAGGACTTCACCAAACAAACTAAATAAGGCACCAGTGACCAATATCTGAGATAGAAGGCCTTTTAGACAGAGGATCCAAAATAGCTATTTTTAAGGAAACTCAATGAAATCCAAGATAATACAGAGAAGGAATTCAGAATCCTATCAATTTACCAAAAAGATTCAAATAATCAAAAAGAATCAAGCAGAGTATCTGGAGCTGAGAAACACAATCAAGATACTGGTTAATACCTCAGAGTCTCTTAATAGCAAAAGTGATCAAGCAGAAGAAAGAAATTGTGAACTTGAAGACAAGCTTTTGAAAATATAGTCAGAGGAGACATAAGAAAAAAGAATTAAAAAATGAACATACCCACATTATCTAGGAAATAGCCTCAAAAGGGCAAATCTAAGAGTTATTGGCCTTAAAGAGGAGGTAGACAGAGTGATCTGAGTAGAAAGTTTCTTCAAAGACATAATAACTTAGAACTTCCTAAATCCAGCAAAAGGTATATATATTCAAGTACAGGAAGATTATAGAACACCCATCAGACTTAACCCAAACAAGACTACCTCAAGACATTTTAATCAAGCTCACAAGTCAAGAATAAAGAAATGATTCTGAACGCAGCAGAAGAAAAGAAACAAATAATATACAAAGCAACTACAAAATGTCTGGCAGTAGACTTCTCAGTGAAAAACTTATGTATTAGTCCATTTTCACACTGCTATAAAGATACTACCAAAGACTGGATAATTTATAAACAGAAGAGGTTTAATGGACTCACAGTTCCACATGGCTGGGGAGGGCTCAGGAAATTTACAATCGTGGCGGAAGGTAAAGAAGAAGCAAGGCACATCTTACATGGCAGAAGGAGAGAGAAAAAGTGAGGATGTGCTACACTTAAAACCATCAGCTCTCAAGAGAACTCCCTCTCTATCACGGAACAGCATGAGGGAAATCACCTCCATGATCCAATCACCTTCTACCAGGTCACTCCCTCGACGTGGGAGAATGAAGGACAAAAACCATATAATAATTTTAACTGATGCTGAAAAAAGCATTTGATAAAATTCAACCTCCCTTTATGACAAAAACTCTCAAAAAGATGGGTATGGAAAGAACATAACTCAACACAATAAAAGTCACATATGATAGACCCACAGTTAGTTTCATACTGAATGCGAAAATACTGAAATCCTTTCTCCTTAGATCTTAAGATCTGACACAAGACAAGCATACTTATTTTCACCACAGTCATTCAACATAATACTGGAAGTCTTAGCTAGAGCAATCAGACAAGAGGAAGAAAAAAAGGGCATCTAAATTGGAAAAGAAGAAGCCAAATTATCCCTGTTTGCAGATTATATAGTCTTATATTTGGAAAAACCTAAAAACTCCACCAAAAAAAAAAATGATTATAACCGATAAACCAATTCATTAAAGTTGCTGGGAACAAAATCAACTGCGAAAATCAGTAGAATTTCTATATGCCAACCACAGATTATCAGAAAAAGGAATCCAGAAAGTAATTGCATTTACAATAGCTAAAGATAAATTGAAATACCAATGAATAAATTTAACCAAAGAAGTAAAAGATCTAGACAACGTAAACTATAAAACATTGATGCAGGAAATTGAAGAATACACAAATAAGTGTAATGATAGTCTACATTTATGAATTGGAAGAGTCTATATTTGTTAATTATTCATATTGCCCAAAGCAATCTACAAATTCAATGCAATTCCAAACAAAATATGCATGATATTCTTTAGAGAAATAGAAAAATAATACTAAAATTGATATGGAACCGCAAAAGCCTGAGAATAGACAAAACTATCCTGAGCAAAAATAACAAAACCAGAGGAATCCCATTTCTTGACTTCAAATTGTACTGCAGAGCTCTAGTAAACTAAACAACATGGTACTAGCATAAAAACAAACACATAGGCCAATGAAACAGAATAGAGAACCCAGAAATAAATTCACACATCTGCAATGAACTTTTTTCTGACAAAGATGCCAAGAACATACATTGTGGAAAGTACAGTCTCTCTAATAAATGATGCTGGGAAAACTGAATGCCCATATATAGAATAATGAAACTAAACCCATATCTCTCCCCAGATAAAATCAAATCAAAAATAATAAAAAAATCAAATCAAAATTAATTAAAGTCTTAAGTCTGAGACCTCAAACTATGAAACTACTAAAAGTAAACATTGTGGAAACTTCCCAGAACATTGAACTGGGCAAAGATTTCTTGAGTAATACCTCACAAGTACAGACGACCAAAGCTAACATGAACAAATAGAATCAAATCAAGTTAAAAAGCTTATGCACAGCAAATTAAACAATCAACAAAGTGAAGAGACAACCCACAGAATGGGAGAAATTATTTGCAAACCGTCTGTCTGTCAAGGGATTAATAATAAGAATAATAACTCAAATAACTCAATAAGAAAAAATCTAATAATCAGATTAAAACATGGGGAAAAGATCTGAAAAGACATTTCTCAAAGGAAGATATACAAATACCAAAAAAGTATATGAAAAGGTGTTCAACATCATTGATTATCAGAGAAATGCAAATCAAAACTATAAGGTATCATTTCACCCCAATTAGAATAGCTTTTATTCAAAAGATAGGCAATAATAAATTTTGGCAAGAATGTGAAGAAAAGGAAACCCTTGTACACTGTTGATGGGAATGTAAATTAGCATAACCCCTATGGGTAACAGTTTGGAGGTTCCTCAAAAAACTAAAAATATAATTGCCATATGATACAGGAATCCCACTGCTAGGTATATACCCAAAAGAAAAATCAATATATTGAAGAGGTACCTGCACTCCCATGTTTATTGCAGGACTATTCACCACAGCCAAGATTTGGAAGCAACCTAAGTGTGTCTACCCACAGATGAATTAATAAAGTAAAGGTGGTACATATACACAATGGTGTACTATTCAGCCGTAAAACAGAATGAGATCCTGTCATTTGCAACTACATAGAACTTAAGGTCATTATGTTAAGTGAACTACATAGAACTTAAGGTCATTATGTTAAGTGGTTTCAGAAACCAGTCACAGAAAGAAAACCGAACATATTATCACTTATTTGTGGATGCTAAAAAAATTAAAACAATTGAACTCATGAAGACAGAGAGTAGAAAGATGGTTACTAGAGGCTAGGAAGGGTAATGAGTGGGAGGGAGATGGTTAATGGGTACAAAAATATCGTTTGATTGAATTAATAAGATCTGATATTTGATAGTACAACAGGGTGACTACACCCTGTTGTTTTGTTGACTACAGTCAACAAAAGTTATTGTACATTTTAAAATAACTACAGGAGTATAAATGGATTATTTGTAACACAAGGAAAGGATAAGTGCTGGAGGTGATGGATACTCCATTTACCCTGATGTGATTGTTGTGCATCATTTTTCCTTATCAAAATAGCTCATGTACCTCATAAATATGTATATCTATTTGTACCCACAAAAATTAAAAATGGAAATAAAAAAGTAAAAATTAATTTAAAGACAACCTATAGAATTGGAGAAAATATCTGTAAACCATTTATCTGATAGGAAATAAAATATAGATATTATGTTATATGTGTGTGTGTGTGCGTGTGTGAGTATCTCACATACACACATACCAGACTCAATAATTTTAAAAAACAATAAAAAATGGTCAAGGATTTGAATAGAAATTTCTTAAATGGAGATATACAAATGGCCACCACATTAAAAGATGCTTGGAATCATTAATTATCAAAGAAGTTCAAATGAAAATTATAATGAGATACTACTCCTTACCCATTTTGAAGGCTAGACTCAGAATGTCTGATATACAATAACAAGTGTTAGCAAACTTGTGAATATATCAGAACATCTATGTGTTGCTGATGGGAATGTAAAATTGTGCAGTCACTTTAAAAACAGTCTGGTAGTTACAAAAATGGTTAAATAATGAATTATTATTTACCCTACCAATTCTACCTACATATATATATATATATACCCAATAGAAATGAAAATATGTCCACATAAAAACCTCCACAGAAATGTTTATGGTAGCATTATTCATAATATCCCAAAAGTGAAACCCACACAAATCTTCATCAGCTGATGAATGAACAAACAGATGATGAGTGGATTAAAAAATGTGGTTTATCAATACAATGGAATATTATGAAGCTATATAAAAGGAATGAAATACTAATACATAGTATGCCACGGATGAACCTTGAAAACATTATGCTAATTGAAAAAGCAGTCACAAAACATGTTATATAATCTCGTTTATATGAAATGTCCAGAATAAGCAAATCTGTAGAGACATTAATATTTTGGTGGCTTAGATCTAAGGTGGGTAGTGCAACGGGTGATAGCTAAATATTGGGTTTTGTTTGGAGGTGTTAAAAATATTCTAAAATTCATTTGGTTCATCCTATCTGTGAATGGTTGAATACATGTAGTTGAACAGATCTGTGAATATACTAAAAACCATTGAATTGTATACTTGAAATGAGTCAATTGTATGTATATGAATTATATCAATAAAACTGTTAATAATTACTATCTTTATTAGGTATATATTCATAAATGTAATTTAAGCTTCACAAATCATGCTATAATTGCAGAGCTGGTAAGAAGGAAATGAAGTCATAGAACTTATGCTCCCAATTCCCATAGATAGCATATGCTAGATCCAGGATTAGAAAACAAATCTACTACTTACCTCAAAATCAGGATTTTTTTTTCTGCTTGATTGTATTTATATAAAGATATAATTTCTACAGAAGGAAGGATATATATCTTACTTTTTATAATTATGGGGTTTTATACCTAGAGAGGCAATTTTCAAGTCAATATTGACTCACTTTTCTATGTTAGTAGAAAAATTTTTAAGGTAATCCCTGGGAAAAATATTTCAAGACATGAAGAGAACTAATCAATAAAATTTTTGTTATCTTATATTCTCTATTCCATATAAGATATAAGTATTACCAAAATGTTTTCAGTTCTATGCTCATGTCACTCTTGCCTGTTGCTCATGAAATAAATTATTGAAGAGATGAATTCAAGAGACTGAGTTGTTTATATTATCTTATATTTTGAGTTAGTGGATACAGAAGTAACTTTTTTTCCTTTGTTTTGAGCTTGGTTGTTTGCTTCCTTCAAACCAGGTAAATGAATCAAAGAGGGGAGGTATTCTTATCCATTTTTTCTCTTTTTATCCTTTTCACTTTTTCAGACGTGAATGGTAGTTCCATGATGAGATAACTGTACTGCATAATTGGAAGAAGAATTAATGTTTTCTCTCCATTTTTGCCATTACTTTTTCATTATAACGTGGAATGACTAGAGCAATCCTCACAAGAAATGTAGTCATTACTCATCCTTTTTTTTTTTTTTTTTAAGTCGGAGTCTCGCACTGTTACCCGGGCTGGAGTGCAGTGACGCGATCTCGGCTCACTGCAACCTCCGCCTCCCAGGTTTAAGCAATTCTCCTGCCTCAGCATCCTGAGTAGCTGGGATTACAGGCGCCTGCCACCACGCCCGGCTAATTTTTGTATTTTTAGTAGAGACGGGGTTTCACTATGTTGGCCAGGCTGTTCTCAGATGCCTGACCTCATGATCCACACGCCTCGGCCTCCCAAAGTGGTGGGATTACAGGCCTGAGCCACCGTGCCTGGCCTACCCATACTATTACATCTTTCACAGTTTTTGGTAAAAATGTAAAATTTATCAGAATAGTACACCTTAATGCTTATTGT